>NC_000010.11:1676666-1828181 GCF_000001405.40 Homo sapiens
ATCTCAATTGTTTAGAAGTTTAATGGGAATGAAAGAAGAGGGTCTTAGAAATATTTAGGTGATTGTTTAAAAACTTCCAAAGACCCTACTTCCACGGACACTCGTATTATTCATTTTAATTTTTTTTAAGATGGAAAGAGTGTTTCAAGGAAGTGAAGTGATGGTCACAGGGGAAGCATGAAGAGGATGGAGAGAAGGTGGGTGAGGCCCAGTGAGTGTCAGAAACTCAGACCTCATGGGTCACTGTGGAGTGGAGGGCCCACACATTTCTTCAGCACCAATCCTGTTTTCAGGGAGACCCTCTATCTGGGGAGGAGCCCCCCTGACCTGCCTGTTCTGGAAAACAAGGACCCTTCACACTTATCAGGCAGCTTACACATCCGCTTCACCCCAGCACTAAGGAGCAAGGCTCAGGGCCTGAGGCCATTTCATCAACATGCTTAGTTTAATTTAAAGAATAATAAAGGAGCAGGCTTGGAGTGGAAAACCTGCACATGAAGGTTCAGACCAAGATAACTGTTTCCTTCCGAAGGCTCAATTTCTGTTTGTAGCTGTGTTTGTTTAGTGCCTTTGGAGGAATTCCTCACTAGAGTCCTTAAACTGAAGCTGCCGACTCGGACCACTCTATGCTTCAGCAGCAGGACTTGTTTTAGGCTTGCAAGATGGAAACAGGTGCAAAAGGTTTGTTTAAAGGGAGCCTCCCCTAAATGATAGAACATGCTGGTACTGGGTGGGGCTGGGCTGGTGCTGCCTGGTTGGGCGGAGGTGAACATCTGCCCAGGAAGGGGTGTGCAGGGCTGTCAGCCACACTGAAGGGGGTCCCAGATGAGAGGAGCCCTGGGGAGGGGCAACAATGGGACCTCCTAGGAAGAAGGCAGGAGTGTCCTAGCCGGGACCCAAAGCCACATTCCTGCCAGGTGGAGCTCCTCCTGGCCTGCTGGTGCATCATGGATTTGGAGCTCAAGAAGGCGGCTGTCTACCTGTTGTTGGATTCACTTTTTACCTTTTAGATCCACACTACAGCTATGTATTTGCATAACTCAGCTTTGGCTGTCACAGAGGGGAGCAGCTGTGCCCATGGCTCCTGCACCTGCCCTGGTCGCAACACACACAGGCTGAACTCGGCAAGGCTGCTCTGTCTCTGCAGATCCAGGCTCTGTCCCACCTCCTGCTGAGGGACAGCCGGCAGGCCAGGCTTCCCTCACTCTCCCTAGGAAGCCAGGTCAGTTGCTCTTTTAGCATGTATTTTGTATTCAGTAAATAAGGCTTTATGTCTTTTCACAGATAGCAGAGAACGACCACATGGTTACAAGCATGCTTTTTCCTCCAATTCTTCCCTGTAAACTTGGATTCTGACATCCAGGAGACACCAAGGGAACAAACTGGATAATTGGAACTACACCACAGGCCTAGTGGTTTTAAAGGCCAATTTCTGTGGCTTCAAATTCCAAAGGAATGGGTGAGTGCAGATGGCAGGGGCTTGGCTGAGGGGTCGGTCACCCAGCAAATGCCCAGGGCAATGCCACAGGACCTCAGGGTGAGTGGCCTCAGGGTGAGCGACCTCAGGGTGAGTGTCCTCGGGGTGAGCATCCTCAGGGTGAGGGACCTCGGGGTGAGCGTCCTCGGGGTGAGCATCCTCAGGGTGAGCGTCTTCAGGGTGAACATCCTCGGGGTGAGGGACCTCGGAGTGAGTGACCTCGGGGTGAGCATCCTCGGGCTGAGTGTCCTTGGGGTGAGCGTCTGCGCACCTTCCCTTTCAGCACTCAGGACAGTAACGAACACAGGGTCACACTCAAGGTCACCGAGAACTTTGGGGCATGCAGGGGGGCTGCCTGGGCTTGCATCTCCTTCTCACCTGCTGGCTCTCTCCTTTTCAAGTCGCTTTTTATCCTCTACAATATCTTGAAAGCTCAGAGCTTGAAAAGACTTGGGGGTGCTTTACCCTCCCTGGAGTCCCTTTTACGGGTCTGGTATGGTTAGCAAGCTGCCGTAGTTCACAGCCAGGGGCCCAGTTCTTTTTAGGAGAGCACCTTTGCTTGCAGGTAACTCCACTGTGGAGTTTGCCCGAGGTGCAGCTGGGCAGTAAGTGTGGCCCCTTCCCTTCCACATCTCGGCTGTTCCAACACCGAGAAGCTGCTTTCGTTTCTCCACCAAGCCCCCTCTCCCGGGCACTTGTCCCTCCTGGACCCTGCTGCCTGGGGTTGTCTTGCCCACCAGGTAAGACATGTCCTAGCACAGAGGAGGAGAGAGTACAGGTGCCCACGTGGCTAGAGGTGGTGCTGGCTCCCTCACGGGCATTCAGGCCAATGCCCACTGGATGCAGACATGAGCGAGTGAGTTCTCCTGTCCTTTCCCATCAGCTTCCATCAGTCACGATTTGGGGCAATTCTCACAATAAGAAGTGCAGGCCCTGGGCCCCATTTCCAGAGAGGCAGCTTTAAACAGCAAATATGGGGCAGTTGGTGTTTCATCTTTCCGAAGATAACCCAGCTGTGGAGAGAGAAAAGGCATCGAGGAGCTGCCCTCTCCTTCATCCTTGGAGGGGCGACCACACATTCCAGCAGCTGGGGACTATCCTGGCCTCATTATTAATAGTGCCCTCTCTCACTTTTCCGAGTGTCCTGGTTTGGGTGATAAATAATGTGGGCACCCTATTTAGAGGAGATCCTGTGCCGGGCACCACAATAGCCAAGGAGTCTCTATTTCCCTCCCTGAATTGTCTCATCAGACACATATCTTTCCAAGCAGAGCTAATTAGAATTTTGCATAAATGGAATTAGTAATGAGAGATTTACCCTTGTGCTATTATTTTGGCTTGAAATCTGTCCTGGACCGAATGGCTGATTTCAGTCAAGGTGATCGGGTGCCACTTGGTGCAACTCCTGGGCCCTTAAAATCTCATTTCATGTGACCTGGCTAATTGAGGTGTTTTTATGTTAATGCCTCATTATGGCCATGGTGGGAAGAGCTCCAGTTACAGGATGAAGAGCACTGTCCCCCAGGAGCACTCCGGTTTCCAGAGTGTACAGCTGCAGACTGTTCTGACACACACGCGGCGTCTAAGCCACTGTGCCACGATCTGTCGTTGAATGAGGAGATGTTCCAACGACTGGATCGCTTGGGCTCAACACGGAAACTGAGTGCAGGGGATGCCTGCTGCCTGGACGACTGGAAAAGCCCGTTCCTCCTTAGTCTGTGGGTTGTCACTCTTAACATTGCTGACATTCCTTTGGCACGCTGCACTTTCTCCCCCTTAGAAATGTTCAAAGGCAGGAAGCTCCCTTCCCACAGACTCCAGTCAACAGCAGGCCCAGAGCAGCCTTAGCCACTTAACCTGCCAGGCAGTGCTCCAGTGCCGTGGCCAGCGACCCCACTCCCCCAGGCCTCCCCAGCCTGTTTGCTTGGCACCCATTCCCCTACATATTCTTTCCTGTGTAACCCGCCACTCATACAAACTGCCCTACATATTCTTTCCTGTGTAACCCGCCACTCATACAAACTGCCCTACATATTCTTTCCTGTGTAATCCGCCACTCATACAAACTGCCCTACCTATTCTTTCCTGTGTAATCCACCACTCATACAAACTGCTTGGTGTTCTGGCCAATTCTGAAGCATTCTCTCATCATCCATACTCTGTTCCTGAGCTCCTCCTTTTCCTCTCCTGCTTGAAATAACCTTTGGGTCCTCCCTCATCTGCTTCCATCTTTGCCCATCAACACCCTTCTCCACCCACATACATACAGGGGGCAGTACAGTGTCCTCCGTAAAGACTGCTGATCGTCTTAGCCAGGGCTGGTCCCCATCACCTGCCAGGACTCCCGGGCCATGCACTTCCCACAGGCTGCATTATCTGTGTGTGTGGGCGCTTTTGGAAGTGGAGACAGAGCCTAGGGTATTTTCCCACAGTGTTCTCCACCAAAGAGTCCCAAGAACAGGGCATCCACTGAGGGACTGAAGGAGCGAGTGAAGATATTTACAGCTTTATTAGAGAAAGGCTCATCTGTCATTTATTACCTCCTCCCAAATCTTCAGGACAGTTTTGCTTTAATAATTCACTGTGAGTGTGCTTGGGGAAAATGTCTGATGCTGGCTTCTGGCTAGAGGTAACTCAACGTAACAGGCATGTTTGGGTCATGCCAGACCCTGGGGTGAGTTTTCAGGACACACACATACACTTGAAAAATAAAAACTCTCCTTTTATAGTCTACGAAGGCTGCAGCAGGGGACTGAATCCTCATCAGATCCCATAATAATCTTAATTGTTCTGGCCAGAAATGGGCAACTCCGTAGTAGAACACAGTATTCTCACGCCAATAGTGACGGATGTGTGTCTATAAACAAGGGGTTAGGGACCCCCCTGGAGTCATGACTTAAATGGGCCTGAGAGAAGTGGGAAGCGTCAGGTTTGAAGGCAGCCCCTGGACAGGAATAATGTAAGGACGCAGCAACCTCATCTTAGGAATGAAGTGTAGTCTTCTCGTTACAGAAGCTACCTCCGCCTGCAGACACACCTCCAACTCTTTTTTAGCTGATTTATTTTGCTCAGGGAGAAAAAGTTTACCTTGTAGTAGCAATGAAATAATTTTTATGTCCAAGCCATGCAGAGCAGAATGCATTTCTCTCAAATTCATTTCCTCGAAGCAGTCTATTCTAAACCAGAACACATGTGGTATGGTTCTTAATGTCCTTTTTCCCAACAACTTGTGGAAGAAAGTTCTCAAAGAAAATATTGTTAGGCCTGTTATGACTCCATTTCTTCCTGTGACGAGAAAGTCTAGAACTTAAAGAGGCAAACTAATATAGCTTAAAAAATATTAAAAAAAAAAACCCTAAACCAGGAATTAGGCCACCTAGATTCTGGTCCTGGCTCTGCAATGAATTATCCATGTGACTCTGGCAAATTGTTTGGCCTCAGGGTCATGGTTTTCCCACCTGTAAAATGAGGTGATCGCAGGGCATGGTCCTGTGGTTTCTAAGAGCTCCACTATTCTGCAATCCTCCAGTGAGCAGAGCTCTCAGAGACCCTGTGGCTGCACACAGGGCTACTGCTACTCTCAAGCAGCCCAGTCCAACTTCACAATGGGGCCTGATAACATGCATTTTACATGCAATCAAATACCGTCACCCAGTGAGGCCCGGGTGTTTGGTGTGGCTCCCTGCGAGCAATCCTCCCAGCCACAGAGTCGTAGGTGAAAGTGCAGCACACTCCGCAGAGACTCAAGGGTGTGAGGGTGCATCTATGCAGGGAGTGAGGGCACCTGAGTGTGGACAGGTGGGGCAACAGCAGGGCATGGCAAAATGAAATTCCCGAGCTTCGGTGCTGTCAGCCAGAATACAACATTCTTTCTTTAACAGACGCATATTTATGTGCCATGCAGACCCTGGGTGCTGGCACAAAGAGATATTTAAAATTGCTTTGAAATCTATTTTCTTAAACAGAATCACTTAACCTGACTCATGAAGGGAAGAGTTGCAGTCAGTCAGGTGCAAAAATCATGAATGAGAGCTCCACAAAGATGGAAGAACATGGAGGAATAAGAGAGCACTGGGCGTCGAAGACCCAGAGGCCTCAGCACGAAGCCAGCAGCTCATCCACAAGCTCAGATGCAAAGGAAGGACCAGTGTCTGTGCCCCTCCCGGGTTTCCTCCCATGCTTCTGCAGAGCCACTGAGGGTCTCGCCTAGAGGAATGGCAGCCAGATGATCTGCCAAATGAAGAAAGCTGCCTGGGAAGCCATTTGCACTTTAAGGAAACCAGTATCCCCTGAAAGTCGGTCTTAGAAACCAACCAACCAAGCAAAAATGACCCCAAACCAGAGACCCGAAAGGACCACGGGTATTGGGTAGTCTCTTTGCTTCATCCCCTCGGTTGGCCATTCTTTTCTGTGCAACCTGGGATTAAGCCGGGTTCAGGGTGTAATTTCCGAATGGCAACTGCATCTCCCACTGCAGTTAGCGTCACTCAACTGCTTCTCAGGGTTCAAACGCATTGTGTCACTCACAGCCTCCGTTAGCAAGACCAGAGAGCAGAGGGGTCCCCCAACACCGTGGCCAGGCGTGTCCTGGGAAGGGGTTGAGAACATTACGGTGACTGTAAGAAATTTAAATTGCACATATTTACAGAAACAGAATAATATTTAAATCAGTATGTAATGCAGACGGCCAGGGGCAGATGGGTTCTCATGGCATTCAGTACCATTGTGGCAAGGGCTGCAGATGAGAGAGTGAGAGGCCGCAAAGCCCATGAGGCCAACACCTGATACAGCTCTTTAAACACAGCCCGAATGCCGGCGGTAACACAGCACCGCGGAGGTGGGCTAAGAAGCACGTGGTTATCGAACGTTGTCATTCATCACAGCTTCATTTGCGTGGAAGCAGAGATGACTATGCTGCTGCAGACAATGTTTTGTGTGCTTTTCATGCTTTACTTATGGGATAGACATGATTTCTCATTCACAGAGGAGAACAGTGGGATATTTGTGTGAGTTCACATAGGGAGAAACAAATAGCGCTAGCATTCCTACCGAGATAGGTCTGACCCCAGATGCAATTCACTTTTCCGAGGATTTGGGCATCTCTTGGTTCTAAATTAAATCTTATTTCTGAGAACTTTAAAAATGTGCTTCATAAGGAATCCAACTGACCTGATTGAGCACATTTCGGGGAACATGACTCTAGAAGGATGAAGCGAGGTATGGAAAGAAGAAAACCAAACAAACTCACATGAAAAACTTCTTAATTTATTCGAAAGGCAGAAGAAGTAGTGAGCTCGAAAGATTTTGCAGTGATGAAAAGTTCAGAAACTCCCAGTTTCTGGGTGAACTCCTTGAAGGCTGCAATGCACAGGGTCAAGGGGTCCGAAGCAGGGAGTGGAGTCTGTTTGCCCTCAGATCCGCTTGGGTCTTTGTGCCCAGAATGGATGCTGGTGGAGAAACACTTGGTGTTTTTGTACCAGACTCACCAGGTAACTGTCGCCGAGTCAGAGCGGGTCATGGCAAATGTTTAGTGGGTCAGCCTTACACACAGATCTTATTTTGAGATACCAAGATGGATAGAAAGGAGAGAAAAAGACATCATGACTGTTTCTGAAGAAATTGTAGCTTGGAAATGATAGCTTGGTTTGGATGAGCAGAGAAACGCAGGCAAGGAAAAGAATCACATAAGAAGGCGGTGGGGCTGAGTCCGAGGCCGGATGTGAGGGGTGGACTCTGTAAACGGAGCCTCCCTGAGTCAGAGGAGACTGCACCGAAAGGTGCCCTCTCAAAAGGACTGTGCAAAGGGTGGCTCCGGTGTGCGTGAAAGACCACCGCCAAAGAGCCGGGATCCCACACTAGTGTGGATGCCTGTGCGCTGTGATCACAATGAGACAATGATAAGACCCTCTTCAGGGAGTGAAGTGCGTTTCAAAAGCACATCTTAACGAATTTAAATAGGAGAAGCAAACTATGGAGTGATCCTTCAAAGCACAGAAGAAAACTCCATCTATAGACTCCAAGGTGTTAAGTCCAAAATAACGTTCCTCTGAAATCCATGACAGAAAAACAGACTTCTTTCTTAGAGAAGTTTTCTGAGAAGATGGTGGAAAAACTAAAGACATCTTTCTTAGCTACTAAATGTTTTCTTAATGCATTCAAACTTCCAGGGCCTGTACGAAAACCTAAAAACACTTTTTTTTCAGAACTCAGAGAAACATAGAATGTGAAGTGTTTGTTATAAGATTCAAAGTTAAAACTTTGTGGTGAAAAATGTATTTCTGTATGCACACACACACATATATATTCTCTATATCTGGAATAACATAATAATAGTCCCTGGAACTTTTCAAACAGAAAGAATGAATGGGGCACTTTTCTTAAGATATTTCTGTCTAACTGGATTGTAGAAAGTTCTAGATTTCCTTTTTCTCTTGTCCCTTAACTAAAGGTTTATATGTCTCACCAAATGGCAATAGTGTTTTAACCACTTTTTAGCCACTCTGAGCCCTTCATTTTGATTATTTTGTAAACCCCAAACTGTTGTTTTATTTTTAATTATTAAATGGTGCTGAGACAGGTCAGGTTCTGGCAAACGGGAAAAGCTGATTTCACCAAAAGATTTTGCAGTTTGAAAAGTTGCGATGGAAATGCTTCATAAATGGGCAGCAGAGCAAACCCAGAAGCTCAGGAATGCGTGAGTTCTGAGTGTGGGTTCTTATCCTTGTCTGTGCTCACAGGTGGGAAGTCAGAGAGGACCTGGAAGCCAAGGATAGTGCAAGTTCCGAGTGGGGGCCTCATCCATGCTCATGAGTGGGTGGTCAGAGTGGACCCAGAAGCCAAGGATAGTGTGAGTTCTGAGTGTGGGTTGTCATCCTTGCTCATGGGTGGGTGGGGACTGTGGGATGAGGAGGAGGGAGAAGACCGGACAGGACCATGTCGAGTCTGGAGGGCCAGCAGTAATGCAGTTTAAGGAATGAAGCCAGATTCTCTTTCTATGAGCAGGGCATGTCTGCCAGCCAGCAGCCCGGGGTGCGAGCTGTGTGAGCATGTGTGTTGGTGAGTGCGTGAGTGTGTGTGTGAGTTTGTGTGAATGTGTGCCTGTGAGGAAGATAGAGACAGAGAAAGAAGGACAGAGACACAGCGGCCACCTGAATGAGCACACCAAGATCAACTTGACTCCCTGGGTGACAAAGTCAATCCTCAGCACCGAGCAACACGAATGACTCCATACATGCGATTTCATGGGTACAGCTTCACCTTTCCCCCTTCTTCTCTTTCCTGTGCCTTGTACCTGACACATGGAATTCTAAATAACAGGCAGGTACCGAATCCATCACAGAGTGAAATAATATATTTGTAAAGGTGCTGAATCCTTGGGAAAATTTAGAATTTTCTCTGGAACAAAATTCTATAAATTCTCATTCCCTCATAAAATGGAATGTAAGAAATAACTCAAAGCCATTGTTAGGTTTTTGCTTACTACATTAAAATGTGGACTGACCTTTCTCACTTTGCATACAGCACAAAGTCAACAGAGAAAAGGGAGGCGACGCAGGAGGGACTCAGATGTTTCTCAGCACGTCTTTAAAGAAATGAAGACACCCCAAGGGTCCTGCCCAGACCTCTCCTGGCTGGAATCAAGGTCCTGATGGAGATCATCATGGAAAATGCAGCCAGCACTTGTGCCCCATGGGGCTGGGCTGGGGGAACAAGGACTTCAGCCCTCCAGTGGGGGAGGCTGAGTATGTGCAGGGCGGACGTGGCTGGGTGGCCTCTGCCCGGGACGGATGGGCTGCAATGTGGACTCTGCCTGGCTTGGACACTCCCACACCCACTCCAGTGGCTCAGCCTTCCCGGACTGGCTTCTGTTAATCTGTTTCCCATTCTTTTCCTTTTAAATTGAATCAGGCCTGAGAGGATAAACACTTCCAAGTGAAATAAATCTTGGTATTTGAGGGCTATTAGGCTTTTCACCTGCTTCTTCAAAAAGTCTCTACAAAAACAAAAACAGAAACCCATGGAGGCTGGTTAGGGGAAGCAGCACTTTAATTTCAGGGCGGTGCTGATAGCTGGGCCATCGATCTGCAGGGGCAGGGGATGGGCCAAGGCCTCGGCGGGGGTTCTCTGTGGCTTGGGCCGGCGGTTAAATGAAATGAATGGCTCGGTCATAAACTGGTTGGAATGAATCAATTGAGTCGAACAAGGACAGGATCATGTGCTGGGAGAGTGAGAACCAAATAGGTTTGAAGGAAGCATACCTTGAAAACTACAGCTGCCGCAAGCTCTTGCAATCAGGAAACTGATGAGCAGTTAATTTGTGTGAAAGTAGGGGAAGGTCTAATGGTGGTTGCGTGATAAGAAACAAGGCTGTGGATTGCTGATGGAGCCCATCAATCTTCCAGGAGTAGCCGAACGTTCCCTCGTCACATGAGTAAGGAAACGTACGGGACTGTGAACCCGCTGGGCTTCCGGCACACAATTAGCTGATGCCATGGTGCACCCTGGCTTGTCTCTCTCTGCAAGCATTATTTTGCTAATTAAGTTGTAGACACTTTAAGGTCAAAGGCTCTGTCTTAGACCGTTTTATGTGGTGGGCACAAGAATAATATGATATCACTTATGTTAATTAAGGATACTATTATAAGTATCATATTAACATTAACAAATGTTTATTGTTGATTTCTCTAGCAAATGATCATTCCAAACAATAAATATGTTGAACTTTGACACGTGAAAGTTTCAGCTAACTAATTGTGATCAAAGTCTAAAATGAAGAAATTACATTTTTTTTAACACGTTATTTGTATCCTATGGCCTACTTCCCAGCTGCAGTCAGCACACTGAGAGCCTGAGTCCCTCTTGCCTCCCATGGGTCATGACATTGCCTTTTTTTTTTTTTTTTTTGACAAGTCTCGCTCTGTCACCCAGGCTGGAGTGCAGTGGCATGATCTCCTCTCATTGCAACCTCTGCCTCCTGGGTTCAAGCGATTCTCCTGCCTCAGCCTCCCTAGTAGCTGGGATTCAGGTATGTGCCAACACACCTAGCTGATTTTTGTATTTTTAGCAGAAACGGAGTTTCACCATGTTGTCCAGGCTGGTCTCAAACTCCTGAACTCAAGTGATCCACCCACCTCAGCCTCCCAAAGTGCTGGGATTACAGCTGTGAGCCACCACGCCCAGGCGTGACATTTCTGTCACAGGGACTCCAGAGGTGGCTTCTCCTCCCTGCCTAAGTAAAGGAAGAGTTTCCTGAATTGTGAGTCATCTCGTAAATATGGCCACTATTTGCATATTCTTACACAGCTATCTTTGGGACTTGATTGGATCTCAAAGCTAACATAATAATAAAGCTGCGATCCAAAATTCTCAGACTTAAACTTTGGCACCACCAAGACAGCCTCATTATTCTCTTTGATTGATTTTATAAGAGATTAAAGTTATGCATTAGATTCAAAAATAAATTTTTAATAGTGCAAACGCATTAAATTATTTAAATAATCATATTTTTTTCTGCAAAAAAAAAAAATTGAGGACAAGGATTTTCCTGCCAAGAGTATAAAGACCCCCGGGTCCAAGGCTGGAGACAGCTCAGCCGTGAATTGTGATGAGGATTCAGGGCCGGGCAGGAGGGGGCTCAGGTGCCACAGGAGTCACACCCTTGCTGGCCGGGGGGGAAAACCACCCACCATGTGCCTCCACTCCTTTCCAGATTAATGAAGCTTGAAGAGGAAAATATTAAAGTTGCCAGTGCGTATACAGTGACAGTTCTAAACGGAGCAGTTGAAATGTTTGCTTGTCACATATGCCGTTGGATTCACAGCCTACTTTTAAAGGCTCTGAGCAGATGGCACTTTGCTTATAATATCATTTCTCCTCAAATATAGGGTAAAGGAATGCCTCAAAACACAATTATTTTAAGTAAAACAATATAACCAAAAAGAAGCCTTCGTGTTGTCCCATTGTCTGGGCAGCAGGATGTGAGGGAGTCACTGTGCTGATTCGTATTTTTGGACATAAACAGCCAGTGGGGACCTGGGGGGTTGAGTCCCAGTGAAGCCTGTGGGCTCTTCTGACCACCCTGTCCCACTGTCAGCCTCACACCTCATGGTGCACTCAGCCTGGCTGCACCCTTGGCCAGGGCTGGGACCCCAGTGGGAGCTGCAGCCTTGGGCATGGGTGGGCAGAGTTGGGGACATCCTCGTTGCTGCCCTGACCTCCCCTGCTGTTCCCTGACCCGGTTCATGTGGGTCCCATTCCAAGCTCCAGACCTTGGGATGGGCAGTGAAGGGCTGGAGACCCTGAGCTGCCATATTCCCCCAGACAACACTCAGGGATGGCTCCGAGGGCAGGTGCATTTCTCACTGAGATCTGCACCAATGGAAATGGAAGGTACATTGGTGGCTTGAAAACATCACTGTGGCAGGAAAGCAGCAGCCCAGCGGGGTCCCTCCCCGCCCCCCGCCTGGCCTTCTGACTGTCATGTCACACACACTCAACATCTCATCCAACCCCCTCCTGCAAAAAATAAAAAGATAACTGAGGGTGATTGCTCATTAAACGTAAAGGGAACTCCTACTGTACTGGCTCAGTTTGAGAGGGGAATGGTGACTTACGTTAGCGCTGACTCAACCCTGACCCTGTCTCATCACTGACATCACAAAGCCTTTTTATACACCTTCTTGGTTTTTCTACTTCTGTTACCTAAGCTGAGAGACAGAGAGCTCTTTCCAAACATTTTAACGTAAAAAAGTAGTAATGATTACAAACCAAAAAACATTTTCACAAAGAATACAATTATATATATTGGAAAATAAGTCATGTTACTTCCTCAGTACATTTTGCAGGTGATCAGTGACTATCTGAGGCTGGTGATGCAGGGGTAAGAAGAATTTCCCAAGACAGGTGCCAGCAAAGAAAGGCAGATTTGTTAGAGAAAGTAGGAAAATATGCTGCAAGAAAGCAATGGGCAGGGCAGCAAGAGAGGAACTGGCTGCCAGGAGATGAAGGCTTGCTGGGGATTTTATAGGATGGTGCTTGTGCTGGAGAGGGAAGTACTGATAATGCCCAGGTTGCAGTGAGCTAACTTGCATTTTTCTATCAGCTGAGGCATTTGATGAGACGTTGAATTGTTTGATGATAAATTAGGCACAGGAAGATTGTAGGTGAGTTACCTGCACAGGAGGGCTACGTGCCCTGGACCATGAAGAGAGGCAGACTTAGAGCTTATCTGCTTCCTCTGTTTCTTTTCCTTGGTCCTGCCAACCTGACTTGTTTTCCCTAATTAGGACTCCACAGTACCCCTTCACCCAGACCCAAGTTCAATAATGTCTGTGTGTCCCTCTCTGGGGTTCTTTACACACATAGGGGCATCTGTATTCATGCGATATTTGAATAAACAGACATCACCACAATACCCTCAACAACACTTCCTAGAGAGCATCCCACCTCATAGACCTGCCTATTGTTTTGTGTGGACATAAAATATTCCATTGTGATGGTGCCCTGCAGTTCACCTAACTTGATGGGTGTTCAGGCTGTCCACAGCAGGCTTTTGCTCTCAAGAAATACTGCAATAAACATCCTTATTCAAAATCTAATTTGCTGCCTATACGCATATGTGTGCAAATATATGAGCCATTTGCTAAGATGGACTTGTTGGGCTAGAGATACATGGATTTCAGATTTTGATGATGTTAGATTGCTCGCCAAATAACAGTCCCCTCTACAGTTACGTAGGGGTCTCTATTTTCATCTCTGAGAAATTTAAAAAATCGTACAATTGATGACTCCACTATTAAAGAAACAATGATTTCAGAAAGAAAGAAATGTGGGGTTTTTTTGTTTTTGTTTTTTGTTTGTTTTTGTTTGTTTTTGCCAAGACTGCTCACCGAAGTCTTTGCTAACATCAATAAATTGCTATGGGAAGAAAAGAAAGCATTGCACATTAAGGTGATAGCTATTCTTGGTCAAAAGCCACTATAAAAAAGCCAAGTGAAATGAGAGATTAATTTCCATTGCGAATTTGCAGCTAATGCCACAGGGCTGTGCAGCTTGTTTCTCAGCTCGTAGGAGCACATGCTCAGCTGAAGTTTAATGATATTTTCTTGCACAAGACACAGTACCAGAAAGTATTGTTTTGATACCTAATTAAATGTGAACAAGCCGTTTTGGATGTTAGCAACTTATGACATATCTGCTTCCAGATATTAAATACAAGTTGTCGTGTGTGGGTGTAGAATTGCTGATCCAAAGCTTTTGTGTTAAGAAATAAAAACTCTGCATTTGGTCAGACAGGGTGGTGAGTGTGGGGTCCCAAGCAGAGAGCCGTGGAGCTCTGAATACTTGTAATGATGCAGTGACAGGCATCAGAATTCCAGAGGTGATTACTCGTTGCCAGTCCTTCTACAGTGCAAGGGGTTCTTGAGGGCTGGTGAAAAATAACTGGAAGGAGAGAAAGGCAGATAGGAGGGAAAGGAAGGCAGCCCCTGCTCTCCTCCTTGCTCCTTCCTGTCCCCATGCTCAGTGGAGCACTGCCCTGCTTTGCACACCCCACGTCGAGGAAGCCCAAGGCCTGCTGACTGCACCCCGTGGATGTCTTCCATGATCCGATCCCTCTGGGCCGGCCCTTCCTGTCACCCCCTCCCCAGCCTGCATGCACACTGTCATTCGGCTTGGCCGGGTCTCCCCGATCCTCCTCCCTACTCTTGCACCTTGACAGTCCTTTCTCCGGGGACCACCGCGGGTCTCATCAAAACGCGCATCTATCCCTGTGCCCGGCAGTCTGATGACGCCAGGCAGGTTTGCCCCTGCCTGCCTCTCAACCCCACGCTGTGCCCCTTTCCTTCTGGGTGCGGGTGACCCAACCCCTCTGCTATTATGGGCTGAATGGTGTCCCCCCAAATTCCCATGCTGAATCCCTAATCCCCAGGACCTCAGAAGGGACTGTATTTGGACATACCACCTTCAAAGAGGCAATTAAGTTAAACTGAGGTGGCTGAGGTGGGGCTTCATCCAATAGGACTTGGGTCCTGATAAGAAGAGGAGATTGGGGCACAGACATGCACAGAGGGATGATCCTGTGAGGACACAGGGAGAAGACACCCTCTACAAGCCAAGGAGAGAGGCCTCAGGAGAAACCAACCCTGATGACATTTTGACCTTGGACTTCCAGCCTCCAGGACTGTGAGAAAATGCATTTGCATTGGTTAAGCTGCCTGGTCTGTGGTCTTTTGTTATGACAGCCCCAGAAAATGAATACAATGGTTTTTTACTCCTGGAACTCATTTCTTGTGTCTCAGAGTCTATGTCCTTCTTCTCTGCACTTGGACCTATGACATCCAAGCAGAGACTGCTGGCTACAGGCTAGGACACACTCCATGACATGCACAGCACATCTCACCTGTGATGTTTAATGCTGACTACATGTTGAAGGGGTAACAATTGCATCTACTGTTTACTGGGCTAAATAGAATGTACTGTTCACACCAACTTCACGTACTTTTCCTTTTCACTGTGGCTCCTAGAATCATTTCAGGCCACACATGGCTCCCTGTGTGCTCACTGGGGCTGGCTCAACTGCTTGCTCTGGTTCGTCCCGCACCACCTCCCACCACATCCCACTCAGAGCCATAATCATCCCTCTGTCTTGCTCAGATATTAGCCCTGATTCCACTTCTGTCCCCTCCAGATAGGGCAGCTGTTGCTGCTGCCTGATCTCAGTCACCTGTGCTCTCTCAGCCTCCAGGTCATTACTAAATGTGTGTGTGTGTGTGTGTGTGCACGCATGCATGTATCTACTACTGGATTAATGTCCACCATTTTAAAAAACATTAAGTTTCAAAGGAAAGTGTGTCTTCAGCGCTCGCTGCTGTCTCCTGATGCACAGCACAGTGCCTGGCATACCTTTAGGGCTCAATAAACAGAATTTTCTTACTGAACGGGTCTGAATCCCATTGTGTGTTCAGTAGTAAAACTGCAGTGAACATTTCTGTCATCAGGAGCAACAGCAAGTGTCTGAGGATTAGAGGTTAGAATTCAGAGCTATCACCTAAAAGCATCACATGGACATTTAAAATTCTCAGTAGAGCATTTTTTCCTTCTAATGAAGCTTTCCTAAACCTGTGACATTGGTTTAATTTGTGCAGGAGTTTCCTCCTTGTATTTGTTTAAATGCCCCCAGAAGCTCGGAAAGCAGGAAGTGGTTTGAAGGGGATTCAGACAAGGTTAGCTGGGGAGGCCGTCACCGGGAGCCTGAGTCCATGGAGTCATCTGTTCTTGGGCCACTTTTAGATTCAGCCTTTGTGGACAAGCAGGGGTTTCCATAGGATTGAGTCCACTGTCCCAAATTCAGCAGGGATAGTTTTTGCTCAAGGCATAGAATGTTAGGAAAAGGCTGGCAGACTACGGAGCAGGAGTGTTTCCTCATTCAGTAGTGACAGCCAGTGAAGGGGAGGAATTGGAGGTCCAATCCACCTGTCAGATGCTTTATACGTTCATAATTAACTGGACTGCTAACAAGGCCTGTCTAAAGTAAACACCTTCTCTGCTTGGCTCCTGAAGGGCTACAAACATTTTTTTTAAAAACAATAAATACATTAATGAATGAATGAATGCCATGGATAACAAAACAGTGGACTGTCAGAATAAGAACGGTCAAAATATGTGCTAAGGTGCAGCCAGGACAGAATTGAAGTCTTTTGATCTCAAGGTTCTATGTTAGACTATTTTAGTTAGCATGTTTGATAAGACTTGCAGAGTTATTCATCCACAAACTTCTGGGCTCACAGAGCTGGCTTTCATAACTCCTGTTCCTCATGCAGCCTCTAACCTATACTGGACCTCCCCACCCTCCAGGTGCTAGTCCTGAAGCCTGGAGTTTTTGGAAGTCTCTTCCCTCTCCAGAAGGAAGGATTTGATGTCATCACTTATACGTGGTGGAACTCATCAGCACCCGTGAGCCAACTCCCTCAGGTGTTTCTAAGCCTTTTATCTCTAATTATGGAACAAATGGCTTTGTCTACTGTTGAAGGCTGTGAGGGCTCCGGGGAGAGTAAAAGCCTGGGGTTTCTGACCTGCAAGGGGCCTTGGCAACAATCCCTACTCAGCGCTTCATTTTCCACATGAACAATCTGAGTCTGGGGAGATTAGGGCTTGTCAAGGCCGCCATGTCTAGCCTTGAGGGCAAACCACTAGGCTGTTGTGTGATGGTCAATGTGGGTAAGAAGACCTGGAGACTGCAAAACAGGACCCCAAGCCACCACCTGGAGCGCTGTCATCTTCTCCTCTCTCGTTTTTGTCATCGTCCTCATATAGTAAAAGGATAAAAATATAACTCAAAATAATAATCTGAGATACAAAATAAATTATTTTTCCTATTGGATATAATTTAGAATTACTTCTTTTCAAAACGACCTGTGATATTGTTTTCCAAAAGAAGTTAATGGCAAACTCACAGATGATAAAATTCTTATAAAGGATACTGAAATTCATTCATTCTTTAATATATTTGACTCTTCCAACCATGGCTACAAATGTGTCAGCTTCAATATAGTGATATTGCCTTGTTTATAATACTAACCTAAGACTGTCACTGCAGAAGCAAACTAGAGAAAAGGTTAAATTAAAAGAAAAATTACTTCAAATTTCTATGGTAGTTATATTGAGGAAACATAAGAAAAATAATGATTTATTGAAATTTCCTTTAAATAATCAATTAGGGCATTGTATAGTGTCTCTTGCAGATGGGCAGGCTGGTCATACAGGAATCCTGGTCCACCCCACAGGGTTTCCCAAAGTGTGTACCACGGAACACTAGTTCCTTGGAATGGCAGGGGACATTGCACAGAGAAATGATTCTTTAGCCAAAAAGCCTCAGTAAAACTTAAATCTTTCTCTAGTAATCGACTTCTTGGAGCCTTTAATATTTTAATCTGATGTTATGTATCTTGTTTGGGTTTTCATCATGTAATTTTTCTGGTTCTTTTGATTATTATTAGAGCAGTTATTATTTTGTTCAGATTTAATTCCAAAGAGTATTTCTCAAACCATATTCTGTACGGTTTTACTACAAGCATTCTCTACACAGAAATATTGATTAAGCATCACATCTTGCTGTGAAATTCAAAGTTTTTGAAATTCATGCTTAAAATAGCAAATTGTTTCATATATTAATTGGAGTAATGTGCTATTTAGCTAATCCATTGCCTTGCAAACTGTCAGGTAGAAGACAATCTCTTCTGAGGGTCACTGGTGTGTATACAATGTGTATGCCTATTCTATAAGCTGGACACTGATTTTTCACTCTTACTTAGTCTTAATTGAACACAAATCAGGGCTTTTAAACTGTACATGCACGACCCACAACCGGTGGCACTTCCTTCCACTAACAATGTGTCTGAGTGAAGTGTGTGGGAAATAAATGCAATGGCCCCATTCAGGGGAATGGTGGGGTCTGACTCACCTTATTCTTGGTCAGTCCCTAGAATAATTAACAATCAACACTCAAATCGATCAATCCTATTGAAGAGATTTTGAAATGAAACTAAAAGTAAGGTACATTTGGACAATTAGAGAAATAGGACAAGCACATTTACGTTTTTTCAGTCCGGGTTTTGGAAGCAGCAGGAGCTGGACAGGCTCAGAGCCGAGGGAGGGAGGGTTATGGGGTTAGGATGAGCAGATGTCTGGGAGTGGGGTCTTCATGACTCACAGCAAAGGTGAGGCCTGTGGGTGGGAAGCAGAGGGGGCACCTGAGCCACGTGCATCCTGGGGCTCCTTTTCACGTGAAGCCTCTGCATGGAAGGTTACACAGCTCCACGCCTGCACCGGGAGGGAGACCTTGCGACTCGCCATGGTTCTCAGGGGCAGCGAGATGAACAGGGATGTGTGGGTCATGGGCCCCCCGTGCCAGATATGACTCCTCTTGGGTTTTGTGCAGCGAGGAGAATGGAAGCCTGAAAACAGCGCATCTGTTCAGCAGACGGTTCACTCACCACCAGCAGCCTCAGATGGTCAGGTCACTTCTTGGAACCTCTGATTCTGAACCCACAAAAACAGACACCAGCTGCCCTGCATGGTGAAGTGAGGATACTCTTCTTCCTGGCAAGAATGGGCTCTGCAGAACCGACCAGGCCCACCGTGTACTTTGAGAACCCCCTTACCAGCGGTGCAGCTCAGAGCAGACAGAGTGACCCCCGAGCCTCAGCTGTTCTCAGCATTAACAGGCTCACACAGCAAGGAGCAGAGCTCACATCAGATGCTCAGTAGTGACGGTTTTCTTCCTTTTACCTCAAGCTATCCACTTTAGGGGTCGTTACCATTGATTCAGTCACTCATTTATTCATTAAGAGCTTATTAAACAATCTCATATATAGACGGTGAGAGTGCTATGGAGATAAAGAGGCAGAGGCAAAGGGCAGGAGCAAAGATCCATGTGTAGGTCTGTGTGTGCATGTATACACAGAAACATGCATGTTTGTGAGAGTGTGTGCATGTATACACATAAACATGCATGCGAGAGCGTATGTGCATGTATGCAAGAAACATGAATGTGTGTGCATGTATGCAAACATACATGTATGTGAGACCATGCATGTGTATGTATACATGGAAACATGCATGTGTAGGTGTGTCTGTGCATACACATGGGTGCATGTGTGTATATATGTACATGTGTTTGTGAGAGTGCATGCATGTGTGTGTACATGTGTGCATCCATGTACACACACATGCATGAGGACACACACATGCATGAGGGCACACACGTGCAGATGTAATTGTGAAAGTGTGCATATGTGTATGCCTGTGTGTGGGATGCACATGTGTATGTGAGAGAATATGTGCATGCATGTGTGTGGGGTGTGCCTGTGTGTATGCCTGCGTGTGTATGTGTGCATGCACATATACATGCACACACATGCATTGTGTATATGTGCATCCATGCATGTCTGTGTGCATATATGCACACACATGTCCATGTTTGCATGTAGTATCACACATGTATATTGTGTGTATGTGTTTGCATGTGTCTGTGTATGCACACATGCATATATGTGTCACGTTTATATGCCTGTGTATATGTGCGTATATGCATGTTTGTGTGTGCACATGTGCATTGTGTATGTGCCTGTTTGTGTGTATGCACGTGTGTTGTGCTTTGCGTTTATATGTGTGCACGTGTGTTTTGTGTTCATGTGCATTGTGTGTGCATGTGTAGAGGCAGTGAGTGAGGTCGTGACAGATTTTATATGGAAATACACACATATTTATGTCTTTTAAAATGGTGGAAATTATATATGATTTCTCCTGTTTTTTTACTTTGGTAGTGATAATATTTATGCTTTAAGCAGCCTTTTATTTCAACCCCCATTCCTAACATTGTGATTAAAGGCCCTTTCCAATTGCTTTGTCCTCTGAGGGTATGTTATCAGAGGTGGTAGACATTTAGGCCTGGCAGCTGCATCCTGTTGAACTCCCAGTGTCCAGCGGACCTGCCCACCTGGACAGGCTGTGCCTCCGCTGAGAGATGAATGCTTCTCAGGCCTGCCCAGGGTCTGGAGCCTGGGTGGTAGCCTCCTCCTGTAGGGCATTCTGCTCAGGACCTGGGACCTGGGGCTGAACTGCAAAGAGGCTAGAGGCTGTGACAAGGTGGATGCAGGTGACCCTTGGCACTTCTGACCCTGTACTCCCTTCCTTGGTCCCAGCCTCCACCAGCTTCTAGAGCAAGTTTGTCCAACCTGCAGCCTATGGGCCACATGCAGCCCATGATGGCTTTGAATGCCCAACACAAATTTGTAAGCTTTCTTAAAACATGATGAGATTATTTTGTGATTTTTTTTTTTTAGCTTATTAGCTATCGTTAATGTTAGTGTATTTTATGTGTGGCCCAAGACAGTTCTTCTTCTGATGTGGCCCAGGGAAGCCAAAAGATTGGACACCCCTGATCTAAAGGTTTTCATTTCTGTTTCTTCTCTTGAATCCACCTCCCTGCTCATCTGGGTGGGGGCTGCTCGGGCCTCTGTGTGCGAACACTGCTGTGGGTCTGGTTATTTGCCCACCCACACACCTAAACACACACATTCCCCACAGCCCTGTGGCAAGAGGGTCAGCCTCTCTTCCGAAAGGAAAATCAAACAAAATCCAGGGAAACTGATGAGATTTCCTTGAAAGCAACATGTTCCAGGTCTTCTCCCCTCTTGTCTTCCTTGTTGCTCAGTTTTCAGATGCCAGCAAGTCAGTAGTGTGAACATTGACTGAACACTGAGCGAGACAGACACAGAGAACACGTGGCTCAAACCTGCCCCATCACTGGAGGCATCGATGCACAAGACGGTGAGAAGAAACTTGGTGAGAAAGAAAAACTAGGAAGACATTGAGAAAGTGAGAAAAGATTCATCTACACAGATCAGCAAAACTCCAAAAGAAGCCCCACAGTTGATACTGAAATGCTGTCTTCTCTAATGAGAAATTGGCTGCTTTGTGTGTCCATCCTGAACCCCAGACAAGGGTGGGTGGGAAGAGAAACCCCACAGGCTCCCTCTGCATGCTCCCAGGATGTGCTGCAGTGTGAGTCCCCGGCGGGCTGACGGAAAAGCCCGGAACCAGTTGGGGCCCGTGACCTGAGCACGGTGTATTGAAGCCCTGATGGAATTCTTCAGTGGATCCTGTCATCCCCCAAATGCCCCGACTCCCTGCAACTTCTCTTTCGACTTGCTTACTCCGTAACCGTGAATTCATCCCTATTTGAAGGTTCCTCTCAAGAAGTACAGCAAGGCAGAAGTCAGGTTACTGGGCTGTGAGGAGCGGTTGGGAATGGATAGTTTCTTATGCAGTTCTCTAAACATTAAACAATAATACGCGACTTTCACCTGTCAGAAAAACTACACACCTTTGTTAGAATGATGGGTTTCCAATGGTTACATATTAATAAATCAACATCTCTACCTCTCCCACTGCCCTCTCTGGCTTCCCTCTTTAGTAGTTACTCACATGCTCCCTGTCCCACGTACCAACATGTTTAATCAGATGGTAAAGACTTAAAACTCCTTTTCTTTTAAAATTGTAGGTGTTGCTTTTTCTCTTTCTTATGAACAGCCTTAATCAAGTTTTCCCCTACACTGAAGATGCCACCCATTAGCAGGTGCGGGACACGGAACATTGCCACCCGTGGAATGAGGAATAGAGCTTGGAGGCCACTCTGACCTTTGAGAGCCACCTTCAACAAAGGCGGTCTCCACAGCCACTGGAGGGGGCTCTGCGACCTCCGATGTCATGCACAGAGCATGGGGGAGAGACATACGCTTCCTCTTCCTGCCTTCCAGACAGCTGAAGATCCCCTTTCTTGTTGGAATAACAATATGTTGCTCATGGAAGAAAAAATTCGAACATCCTCATCCATAATTCCCAGAACATCCCTGGGCTGACACTGCAGCTGGGTATGAGAGACGCATAGGAGTAAAAACTTGATGGAAAAAGCAACTTCTAATGTTGGAAAAAGGCACATCTGTGTGTTGTGTAAAAGGGTAGTTAAAGGTGGAGCAGAACATTCAAAAATAGACTTAATTGTAATAAAAACAGTGAAGGTAGAAAGAGTTGAAGGGGCAAATGACTTTTAAAAAATTTATTATTATTATTTTTTAAATGGCATCTTGCTCTGTCGCTCAGGCTGGAATGCAATGGCATTATCTTGGGTCACTGCAACTTCTGCCTCCCAAGTTCAAGCAGTTCTCCCTGCCTCAGCCTCCTGAGTAGCTGGGATTACAGGCACCCACCACCAGGCTGAGCTAACTTTTGTATTTTTAGTAGAGATTGGGTTTCGCCATGTTGGCCAGGCTGGTCTCAAGCTCCTGACCTCAACTTATACATCCACCTCGGCCTCCCGAAGTGCTGGGATTACAGGCATGAGCCACCATGCCTGGCTGCAAATGACTTTTTTTAAACCTCATTTGGTCAAGGCTGACACTGCAGTGATTTTAAGCGTTATCAAATTAAAGATGCATCCACTGCCAGCTGCAGCATACTGCAATCCCACTCCACCTGGAGACCAGGCGCTCACCAATACACGCAATCCCACTCTACCAGGAGACCAGGCGCTCGCCAATACACTCAATCCCACTCCACCGGGAGACCGGGCACTCGCCAATACACGCAATCCCACTCCACCGGGAGACCAGGTGCTCACCAGTACACGCAATCCCACTCCACCGGGAGACCAGGCGCTCGCCAATACACGCAATCCCACTCCACCGGGAGACCAGGCGCTCGCCAATACACTCAATCCCACTCCACCGGGAGACCGGGCACTCGCCAATACACGCAATCCCACTCCACCGGGAGACCAGGTGCTCACCAGTACACGCAATCCCACTCCACCGGGAGACCAGGCGCTCGCCAATACACGCAATCCCACTCCACCGGGAGACCAGGCGCTCGCCAATACACTCAATCCCACTCCACCGGGAGACCAGGCGCTCGCCAATACACTCAATCCCACTCCACCGGGAGACCAGGCGCTAGTCAATACACTCAATCCCACTCCACCGGGAGACCAGGCGCTAGTCAATACACGCAAACCCACTTCCACCAGGGAGACCGGGGCACTCGCCAATACACACAATCCCACTCCACCGGGGAGACCAGGCGCTCGTCAATACACTCAATCCCACTCCACCGGGGAGACCAGGCACTCACCAATACACGCAATCCCACTCCACCGGGAGACCAGGCGCTAGTCAATACACGCAATCCCACTCCACCGGGAGACCAGACGCTAGTCAATACACGCAATCCCACTCCACCAGGAGACCGGGCACTCGCCAATACACGCAATCCCACTCCACCGGGAGACCAGGCGCTAGTCAATACACGCAATCCCACTCCACCAGGAGACCGGGCACTCGCCAACACACACAATCCCACTCCACCGGGAGACCAGGCGCTCGTCAATACACTCAATCCCACTCCACCGGGAGACCAGGCGCTCGCCAATACACTCAATCCCACTCCACCGGGAGACCAGGCACTCGCCAACACACACAATCCCACTCCACCAGGAGACCAGGCGCTCGCCAATACACGCAATCCCACTCCACCAGGAGACCAGGCGCTCGCCAATACACTCAATCCCACTCCACCGGGAGACCAGGCGCTAGTCAATACACGCAATCCCACTCTACCAGGAGACCGGGCACTCGCCAACACACACAATCCCACTCCACCGGGAGACCAGGCGCTCGCCAATACACTCAATCCCACTCCACCGGGAGACCAGGCGCTAGTCAATACACGCAATCCCACTCCACCAGGAGACCGGGCACTCGCCAACACACACAATCCCACTCCACCGGGAGACCAGGCGCTCGTCAATACACTCAATCCCACTCCACCGGGAGACCAGGCGCTCGCCAATACACTCAATCCCACTCCACCGGGAGACCAGGCACTCGCCAACACACACAATCCCACTCCACCGGGAGACCAGACGCTAGTCAATACACGCAATCCCACTCCACCGGGAGACCGGGCGCTCGCCAATACATGCAATCCCACTCCACCGGGAGACCAGGCGCTAGTCAATACACGCAATCCCACTCCACCAGGAGACCGGGCACTCGCCAACACACACAATCCCACTCCACCGGGAGACCAGGCGCTCGTCAATACACTCAATCCCACTCCACCGGGAGACCAGGCGCTCGCCAATACACTCAATCCCACTCCACCGGGAGACCAGGCACTCGCCAACACACACAATCCCACTCCACCAGGAGACCAGGCGCTCGCCAATACACGCAATCCCACTCCACCGGGAGACCAGGCGCTCGCCAATACACTCAATCCCACTCCACCGGGAGACCAGGCACTCGCCAACACACACAATCCCACTCCACCAGGAGACCAGGCGCTCGCCAATACACTCAATCCCACTCCACCGGGAGACCAGGCGCTAGTCAATACACGCAATCCCACTCTACCAGGAGACCGGGCACTCGCCAATACACACAATCCCACTCCACCGGGAGACCAGGCGCTCGTCAATACACTCAATCCCACTCCACCGGGAGACCAGGCACTCACCAATACACGCAATCCCACTCCACCGGGAGACCAGGCGCTAGTCAATACACGCAATCCCACTCCACCGGGAGACCAGACGCTAGTCAATACACGCAATCCCACTCCACCAGGAGACCGGGCACTCGCCAATACACGCAATCCCACTCCACCGGGAGACCAGGCGCTAGTCAATACACGCAATCCCACTCCACCAGGAGACCAGGCGCTCGCCAATACACGCAATCCCACTCCACCGGGAGACCAGGCGCTCGCCAATACACTCAATCCCACTCCACCGGGAGACCAGGCATTCTCGCCAACACACACAATCCCACTCCACCAGGAGACCAGGCGCTCGCCAATACACTCAATCCCACTCCACCAGGAGACCAGGCGCTAGTCAATACACGCAATCCCACTCTACCAGGAGACCGGGCACTCGCCAACACACACAATCCCACTCCACCGGGAGACCAGGCGCTCGTCAATACACTCAATCCCACTCCACCGGGAGACCAGGCACTCGCCAATACACGCAATCCCACTCCACCGGGAGACCAGGCGCTAGTCAATACACGCAATCCCACTCCACCGGGAGACCGGGCACTCGCCAATACACGCAATCCCACTCCACAGGGAGACCAGGCGCTCACCAGTACACGCAATCCCACTCCACCGGGAGACCAGGCGCTCGCCAATACACTCAATCCCACTCCACCGGGAGACCAGGCGCTCGTCAATACATTCCATGGTATAGAGGCGTGTGTATGCTTGGCTTGAGGGAAATGAAGAAAGACTGTGAAATTTAAAGAAAGACAAAGAGAAAGAAGTGGGAGAGAGAGTCATGCTCAGAGTTCACCTGCTGATGTAGAAGCCCTGATTGGCCATTCCCTGAAGATGAGGTGGAGGCTCCTTTCTGTATGTGACCAGGACAGAGAATGCTGCATCCCACAGGGTGAATCTACCAATGACTGATAATGGAATTGTTCATCCACCTTCAAATGCATAAGGCAAATATACAGACTTAAGTATGAGAACAACTCATCATTGTAGCACTCTGTATAAAAGCACAATTTTTGAATTAAACTCAATTTTGACAGTAGTGGATAACCATAACCCATTCATTAGATGGAATTACCATGCAGTCACCATGTTTTAGAGACGACCCTCAAACCCCTCTTGAATACAAAGGCTGAGGAGGGAAGATGAAGGAAGAGGGTGAGGGTCTGGGGCCCTTGACTCTTCCTCTCTCTTGAGGTCTCTCTGTCCCAGCACCTGGGCAGGTAGGGAATCCCGAAAATCTGGGGATTTTCCTCCATGTCCATCACTCTCTTCCCTTTTCTCTCCACCTGTCTTGATTAAAATCCAGATTGTCCAAGCGATGGCTGCTAATCCACAAAAGTCACCCCTCTATTCTCAGACTCACTGAACTCCAGTGACCCTGCTTTGCTTGAGCACTGTAAGACCTTCTGCCCCCATTCCCCAGGGTACATGCTCCTGCCGGCCTCTCTGGGCCCCACATTTGAGAATGAATGCCTCACTGGCAGTGCTCTCGCTGATTTTCTCCCACAAGTTCAGACAAGATCTCAGACTGGCCCTCCTTTAGAGGAATGTTTCACCACATGCGATGATGAGTATGGGTTATTTTTAAAAGCAGATTGCAATGCAAGATTCAAGGTATGAACCACTTGCTACAGTTATAAGCAGTAAAGAATTAGCTACTGTTATCTTCAGATGGTAGGGACTCATTTTCATTGTCTTACTAACACTTTTCAGTATTTTCAGAAGTTTCTGCAATGAATCTTCAGTAATTGTATTATCAGAAAAAAGACACAAACACAATGAATACAGAATGATTTTGAGTGTGGGATAGCGAGTTGCATGGAGAAGCAGACCCGTTCACTGATTCACTGCACATGTAAGCACGTGCTACACCAGGGGCTCATCTGAGTTCTCCAGATACAGCAATTAAAAGGAAAAAAGGATGAGGGCTTCAGTCCTAGTGGAACTGAGCATTTTCATGGGTGGAGGGCATGGGCATAAATAGCAAGGGGGTGGGGGCTGCAGGTTGAAGGGGCATCCAGGGAACACCTGATGAGGAGGGTGACATTTTAGCGTACTTCTAAGGGAATAGAGGATGGGGCCTGTGGGGACCTGGAGGAGTGGAGCTCCACCCCGAGGCACAGCAGGTGCAAAGGCTTGGAGCCTGGATGCTGGTGAGCAGTGAGGAGGCTGAGGGGTGGGGGGAGACTTTTTTAAGACAAGAGAAATAGTAGTGTGTGTTTGAGTAGGCAGGGATGATCCAGCAGAGAGGGGAGAGTTGATGGTGCAGGAGACGATGCAAGAACTGGAAAGTGAGGTATGTGGAGTCACATCTCCCTTAAAAATAGAATGGGGAGATTTTGCATCAAATAGGATAAAACAGATTATTAGCTGTTTAGCATAATAATCTTAAAATGATTAATTGATGATTTTGCCTGAATCCTCAGATGAATTTTTCATCTTGCAGCCTTGTGTGCTTTTTAGGTAAGAGAACCCAATGGTCATTGTATCTGGGAGCGTTTCTTTGAAAGCAAGGTGTTTTTTGAAAGTAGCATTTGGCCATATTAAGTCCACCAAATCTTTTGACCACTGTTCACTATACACTGGCTTTCAACTGGATTCACCTTTTGTTAAATGCGGTCAACCACGGGAATGAGTGACCTTGCGACTTTCACAGGGGACTCACTCCTAAGAGGTGGTGTTCAGCCAGGGGGAAGACCTAGCAAGCCGTGATTGATTTTAGTTTGTTTATTGGATGCTACATTAGCTATCTATTGCTTTGTGACAAGTTACCTCAAGAGTTAGTATCTTAAAAGAACAAACACTATATCTAACTTCCTGTGGGTCAGGAATCCAGGAGCAGCCTCACTCTTGCTGTAAGACAGCGGTCCTGTCCCCAACCTTTCTGGCACCAGGGATGGCTGGTTTTGTGGAAGACAATTTTTCCATGGACTGGGGGCTGCAGGGATGGTTTCAGGATGATTCAAGCACATTATATTTATTGTGCACTTTATTTCTATTAATATTACATTGTAATATATAATGAAATAATTATATAACTCAGCATAATGTAGAATCAGTGGGAGTCCTGAGCTTGTTTTCCTGCAACTCGATGGCCCCACCTGGGGATGATGGGAGACAGTGACAGATCATCAGGCATTAGATTTTCATAAGGAGTCTGCAACCTGGATCCCTTACAAGCACAGTTAGCAATAGGATCCCCACTCCTATAGGAATCTAATGCCACTGTGACCTGACAGAAGGCAGAGCTCAGACATAATGTGAGTGGCAGAGAGTGGCTGTAAATATAGATGAAGCCTTGCTCACTAACCTCCTGCTGTGCAGCCCAGCTCCTAACAGGTCCTGGACCAGTACCAGTCCTTGGCCCGGGGGCTGGAGACGTCTGAGTTAAAGCATCTAACTCTGGGGTTTTGTGAGGGGTACATATAAAGTGGTTTGGAATCATGTGGGATTATTGATATTATTACAAAGAATAAATCTGATAGGGTCTCAGAGAGCCTGGAAGCACAGAATGATAAAAAAGCTAGTGTGGGTCAAGATGTTAAAGGGGCAGGGAGTATTGAGAACGGTGAGCTTGCATATGCCAGCCTGAGCCTCCACTCTCTCACTGAGGAGCCCAGCAGTTTATCATTTGAGCAGGAAAAGGGTGCAGGGGAGACCATGAGGGCGTGGGCACCACCCAGCCATGAGTCTCAGAGGCAATAACCCCATGAGCACAGACCCACAGGCAAAGCCCTGGGAGAAGTCCTTTCAAAGCTTTTCAATATGTGTGAAAAAAATTGCAGCTGAAATCCCATAATTTCATTAAAAAAATAAAGAAACAAATGTAGGTTGATTTTTAAAATTATTTAATTAAAGTGGCATTTCTTCACATTTTCCAAACCTCTGTAGCCTCAGAATGGCTTAGACCCTAAAGTCCTCTTGATCTAATGACGAAACCACTTTGACACTTTGAGGACACAGGTGGATGGGCCAAGGCGGCTGTGCTTGGCAGGGTTGCAGGGGCTGCATTCTACATGGTGCCTCTGCCCACTCTATGCCGGTTTTGTGGCTGGGGAGGGTAGTGTGGTCTGGAAGAGTGGCCGGTATGATGGACAAGGCAGCTGACGTGGATGGCACCAGGGGTCCTGGGGGACCGGAGAGGACGGACTGGGTCACTTGATCACAGTGTCACCGGAGCCCCAGGGCAGCAGCAGGAGGAGAGGCGGCAGATGGGGTGAGAAGGGCTGCAAGGCCAGGTAGGTTCTCAGGATGTTAGGCAGGCAGCTGAGCGGGGGTTAATGAACAGAATGCAATGGAGATTGTTTACAGACAGTTTTGTAGAGAACAAGCTTAATCTGAAAATTTCAGACATAACTGTCCTGAAATGCAGGGTGCGGCAATTAAGGTGAAGCAATCTATTTATTCCCATCATTCACCATCAGATGATTTTACTGTCTCCACCTAAAGCTGTTCTTACAAAGAAGCGTGTGAGGCCTCTCAATATTGTGCTGCTCTGAGGGTTCCAGGGATAGCTGCCGTCCGCCTCTGTGGATAATGACTCACAGGGACAATGAGAGGTATACTTGGGAAGTTATTTGAATTTGGAGATCAAATTTTGCTTTGATTGATTTTTTTTTTCTCTTAAGTATTGCTTCCCTAGCTATTCTAGGATCAGAAAGTGACAAAACACTTCACGGTGAATTACAGTGGTTTAATGCCTTATTTTAAATTTATGTTTACCATTTTATCTTCTTGTTTTTTGTTCTTTAGCTGAGGTTCTAGTACACATGAATGCTTTACCAGCCATTAGCTGTGATTAGTGGAGCTGCAGTGAATGACGGTAATGTGAGCAGCATCAAATGTTGACTTGCTTTTATCAGAGAGCAGAGAATGTACAGAATCAGCTGTGTGCTCAAATTCACTTTGCTAAAACGCTAGTGTTTTCGCTCCCTACCCTGGAAGCATAGGTGATGCTTTTTCTCTCCTGAGTAGAGCTTGACTAGGGTCAAGGCCATACTTATCGACATGGCTGACCATGTTTCTTGCCTTTCAGAAGCAGAACATTCCATGCATGAAAAATGGTGAGAAATGGGTACAAAGAGAACTGGGGAATAGGAACAGCTTGGGAGTAGAAGAGGTGAGCACCCCTAGGCTTCAAAAATCTCCTCTCCTTTGCTGTTTTTCCTGTGGGCTGGCCTTTGTCCCAGAAGCCAGAAGGCCAGCCACAGGTATTTACATATTCAGGCAACACATTTTGTGCTGCAGTGATTTCTTCTTCTCAAGGCAACAAATCCAAATGGTGTTCCAGGAGAGTATTTTCGGTACCTTTTGATTCCTCCAAGTATTTTTATTTCAAAGGAAAACAGTCCTACTTTTCAACAAACAGAGGGCCTGGCGCTGGACTAGAATCTGCAGGATGATGTTGCTTTCTGCAGTAATTGAGAATCAGAAGCCTGGTTTCTCAGGTATTTTTATCTTCTGCCTGTGTGTGAAGTCAAAAATCTTACTCCATTAAATAAACACACATTGACGTGCTAATCAGAAAGACAACACTGGCCTTATAACAGGAGGAGACTGATGGGGAACAAAAGAATCACACCCTCCACTGAGGACAACCTCTCCAGGGACACCAGAGTGGTGAACGGCAGGAAGTGGGGTTTTTGTTGGGCAGGAAGTAGGGTTTCATTGGGCAGGAAGTGGGATTTTCTTTGGGCAAAGGGTTTCCCCGGGGCCTCCTGACATGGCTTCATGCGTTCCTCTCTTCAGGTACCCGGTCCAGAGTGAAGAGGGAGATACACCCCACAGAAAAAGTTTAGGATTTTTATTTCATCAAATGGATATCAAAATTATTTCGATCACAACAAACATTGTTTCCAGAAAATATGCCCTTTTCCCCTGGATTCCTTTACAGGTGCTTCCTTCACGCGGTGTCCCGGATTCCTGCACCGGCGCACAGCTCAGCACCGCGGCCCCGATCTGCCCAGGACCTGCCCATAGGCGCCTCCTTTCACTGATGCCACCTCAGATCCACCTCGTCAGAGGAGGCAGAGGGAAGACTCCGAAGGAGGAATAGAGGGGTGTGTCCCACGGGGCTTCAAATCCTCATGCACCCCGTTTTCCAGAATTTTCTGTGAACGTTTGTCTGCCCCAGTGAGAGCTCATCTTAATCTTGATTTGTAGCGTCTTTGGCCAGTGGTCTTCTCACAAGCAGGCATTTTCTCCACATTGTCTTTTGAATCCGGTTTCCTAATGTAGCCTTTGAGACGTCCTGATGCGGAAAATTAATCTTGTTACTTGATGAAGATGGTGTTTGAAAATCGATCCCGTGGCCTGGTCTGTTAGGTGGAGAGTGGTTCCTGTGCAGAACTGTGCCTCACCTGAGGACGGGCAGACTCGGGCTGTCTGGAGAGTGTGGGTTAACCACTATACAGGGATGCCTTCCTGGGCTTGGTTCGGCACAGTTAGACTTCTCCAAATGTATACATTTCATCTCCTTTCTTTATAAACTAGACATTTGGCTCAGAAGACTGTGAAGATGAAGCTTGGTTAAAGCTGTTTCCTGCAGGCAGCACAGAATTCAGACCTTTGTCTGATTGGTCCTCTGCTTGTTGGGGGACCAGCCCGGTCCACACACAGCAGAGTCAGCACTGGTCAGTGGGAGAGGTTGCAGGGGGCTCTAAAAAGAGTTTCTGGCCTCCATTTTTTCTCATCATGAAAAATACTGTATTCAGAGTTGTTAACATTCTACAATGTGTTAAAGCCTAAGACCCAGGTCCCTTCAGGAAAATGACACGGTAGCTTGTGCTCACATGAGGGTGGAAATGACAGGTATGCAATGCTGGAAGGCAGAGGCAAGCCGCAGCTCTGTCTGGGGCTCTGCTCCGTGCGGGCTGCCTTCTGTCCCTTGGGGTTCCAGTTTCTCCATAGCAGAGATTCTAGTTTAACTCGTATCTTTTGATGCCTGTTCAAAGTGGAAGATTATAGGAACTCAGGGGAGTTTTCTATGTTGCAGGAGAGGTGAGAAGATCAAAGGGGATGAAGAAAAGGGACCCTGGGCTCCCAACGCCAGGGTGCCTACCTGCAGTTTAACCAGGGCAGACCCCACACCAAGCCTTGGTCTGAGAAGCCCAATCTGCTCCTCAAAGGAAAGAATGCATTTACTTGGGAAAATCTGCCCTGACTAAATATGTATTAATTTTCAATGGAAAGGGAAGTATGAATATGTTTGCCTCCTTCCTGGTCAGAATCTTTCAGCCAGGGTCTGTGCTGGCAGACAACAAGACACAAGGCCCTTTAGTCAAGACGCCAATCAAGAATTTGCAGGAAAAGCTACAAGAAGAAGAATGTTCAAGGAGAGGCATGGGCTTTGGGGGCAGCCGGGGTCCTGGGAGACATTCAGGTTCAAGTCCTAGTTTTGCTAAATTCAATATCATTTTAGGGCAAGATTTTCCTTTTCTGTAAAATGGGAATAGTAGCATCTCCCTCCTGGGGTCACAGTGAGGATTTGACGAGGATGTACACACAGAAGCACTTGGCACACACCACGTCACCATCACATATGAAATCCTTTTTCCTTCTTTCTACAGTCACTGCAGAATCCATCCTCCAGCCTGCAAGCCACACCTGTGAACATGCAACCCTTGCTGTATGTGAGCAGAGGGCTGAGGGCATGGGTGGAAATCCATAGGAGAGGACTGTGGTGGTGGACGCAAGACACACCTGAGGTAAGGAAAGGAGGAGGCCACGCAGGGAACATTTTAAATATGGAGGGAGGAGGGGAGGTCACGTCGGGTCCTGAGAAACCTTCTCAGCCTCCATGCTGACCCCATTGATCTAAACTAAGAATGACTGTTTCATAGGTATTTCCTGCTCTAGTGCTGAATGAGTCTCTCTATGGAAGTCGCTAAGTGGAGACCTACTTATGTTGCCTTTTATAATAAAGCTAGTACAGTGTTTGTGCTAAGTCTCTTAAGGGGATGGTTTAGACTTTCTGCAAATTGCTACAATGTACACAGCTAATTAATAACACAAGTTCCCTCTGATGAGGGGGAAAGTATTTCTTGCCTAAAGAGGGATGTTGTTTAGTCTTGTAAAACTGTAGTTATGTCTTCTCTACGTCCTGCCAAGCATGTCTTCATAAAAATTAGAAAGAATCCATCTGTTTTCTTGCCACAGACTCTAATTTCTTTGTGAATCTTATTTGGATTTGAATTCCAATGAGCAAGCAGCAAGGTTTGTGCAATGTTTGTTAGCTGCTGACTATGATGTGGAAGCCGGGCTTTCTTTTCCATTTTTCCTTTTCATATTGTCTTTACTTTGGAGAGACTTTTGATCTGAAGGAAGCTGAATTATGTGTCATTAGAAAGAGTGACCCTAAGCACAGGTGGTGACTTGAGCTTCCAAGGGGGGAACATTCTGAAAGTATCTTCAAAGAGTGCTAGTGGGAGAGTTCCAATGATGCTTCCCATGCTTTCTCTCTGTATAGATGACCCCATGCCTAGCTCTTCTTACAGGAAGCCCTTGGCACGTCAACACACCCCTCTCCTTCCCTTACCTCAACCAGACAACTACCTTAGCAGCTCAGCTGTGTTATTGAGACATTTCAGCATGAAATTTGTTTTTCCTCACTGAACTTTAAGCAGAATTTCAAGTGCCAAGTCTCTAAAGCCAAGTGGGGCTATTAAGAGATAATTACTAATTATGCTAATTTGAGAAGTTGCTGCTATTTCCTTCCTGGTCATTTTATGTGCAGCTCTCCTGAGAGCACAGTCCCCTCGCAGGGCTAATAACCTTCTCTGCAAAGTGCTCAGTCGAGGACGGTTTGTCCTAAACTTCCACGCCTCAAAACCGGGAAGGTTCACAGTTGAGCGGAAAGGGTGGCTTTAGGGGAGTCTATGTCCTCATTGTTAATGATTTATACTAGTTATTACAGCTTCTCACAGGCCAGCAGTAGCTATTCCTTTATACTCAGCCCAGAAGAGTATATTTAATTTCTAACCTGGCTGTGGTTTCCCCCTCATCATCTCTGAGTCTTAATAATGGATCCCAAGCATTGGAACTGTCCTCAGGGCCCTGCAGCACTAAATCAGAGGCTGGGGCCTTGTGTGACATTGATAATTACCATCCTTTCTCCAAAAAAGTTACTATTTAGGAGAAATATAATGGATAAGCAAAAGCAATTGCCGAAACTCCCTGGGTTTGAGTTGATCCTGCCACTGGGACACATGCACCCAGAAGATAAGCTGGAGGGATAAGGATGAGATGCCTGGGAATCCAGCCTGCACTTGGGTGCTGGGGGCACCTTCCCCTCCTTCCCACTGTCCTTGCCACTTATTCACGGCACTCACAGGGCAGGGGATAGATGAGGCTGGCTGGTAAATCTGGTGTGCTGATCAGTTTATCTGGGTTCACACCACACTACCATCAGCGTGGACTGCAGAGAGGCACGAGGAATGCCGTTGGGCACCTGACTGTGAGCTCCCGCAGACTCTCAGGCTCTTGCAGCCTCTCAGCTTTCACACCATGCTCCTACCTTCAGCTTCGTCTTTACTGGCCAGAAAGACCACCCTGGGGCTTCACCTTCACTCCTTGTCTCATTTCTCAGCTTGTTCAGGCCAGTGTGAGGAGGAGGACAGCTTTGATACCTCCACAGATGCTTCCCAGGCCTGTCCGGTGGTCCTGCAGGGTCAAATGTAACCAACCTAGAGGATCTAATTTTTGGCCCAACCCCCTGTGCTCTGCATTTCCATGTTTGAAAGTTAGTTCTTGCAAACTCTCAGGGCACCATCAGCCAGTGACGTGTGTTACTCTGAGGCCTGGCCCACCCCGAGCTTGCCAGGCCCCAAAATAGGCTCACAATGGCCAGGGACACGGGTACCTAACCTCAGCATCATCTGGGATGCCAGGCAGCCCCATCTGGAAGCTCAGGGCTGGATCTCAGGTGTTAGTCCTTCCTGTTTGGCCAGTGGGGAGCTGACTTACACTTAAAACATGAGAAGCTGAGAACAAACTCAAGGTCTCCTATCTGTGAGAACAAACTCAAGGTCTCCTGTCTGTGAGAACGAACTCAAGGTCTCCTATCTGGAGGGGAACCCGCTGGACACCCGGTGCCATGCTGAGGTCACAGCTCTGAAGGACGCACCTGGGAAACTCCTACCCCTGGCGGAGACCAGCATGGATCCTAGGAACACCACCATAGCTGATGGGAGCACTGAGAATGTTGATAATTGGCACTGATTTTGTTCTTCTGCTCTTTGATATAGAACATAGTCTCATAGAGGATTCCTTACTAAGGTGTTTTCCTCCACTTGACAAAGAAGAAAACGTGAGAATAACAAGAGAGCTGGAGACCTTTAGAGCTGATTTCCAGCTGTGTGATCTGAGGCAATTCCTCATTTCTCAGGAACACAGTTGTGTCTTGTATGATAGCTTCCAACAAATAGGAGTTACAGGCATTGCCAAAGCTCTCGAGGCTAAAGATTTATTTCTCTTTCCCATGAAAATAAGTAATGAAAGAGTTTCCCTCCTGCCCAGGCTCTTATAGATTTACATGCACAGCTTCCTCCTTTATAAGGACTAGGATAAGAAGAGGCTCTGACATTTCCAGGCTATTCCAGGTTCTAGTAGAATTCTCATAGCTGCCTAGAATTTCATACAACTCTGAACCATGCTATCAAGCCCCCCAAAGCATCCTGATAAGAAATTAAAACCTAGACAAATTCTCTGGGTAGCTTATTCATTTAATGTTAGATGGATGTTGACTTTGGATTTTCCAGCCTTCTCCAAATGCTCATAATTTTAGTTACTCAAAATACACCCAGTAAAAATACATTTACAAATTATAAATTTGTAAGATGTATTAAGAAAATACAACAGTTGATAATGTTCGAAGCTGTATTTAAAACAGATATTCTCAAATTCGTGCAGGAAACTTCCTCCAGGACAAAGACCTCAGTGACAATGACTATTTTCTTTTTATGACTCAATATTTGCTTATCTCCTGACACACAGTAATTGCTCAAAACACGTTTTATACAACCTAGCCTAGCAGAAATGCAACAGTTTATTATGTAAAAATTAATATTTTTTGAAAGATTTCACACAGCTCTAGCAGGCAAAAATTACCTGGTTTCATGGCCTCAGTTTTATACAAAGGTAAGAAGTTATGAGGTGTATTGCAGAATATACTGCTTTTTTTTTTCTTTGCGTGCCTTCTGCATGAGGAGAGGCTGTGTGGAAGCACAGGGGGCAGGCACACTGTGTGTTCTCAAAGCTGGACTGGCTGTGGTCTGTGGGAAGCAACCCGGGAGGATTGGGAAAGCCCCCCTTATCCTACCCAGAAAGCTCTTCCAGTTACTGAAACCACCATTACTTTTTTTTTTTTTGAAACGGAGTCTCCCTCTGTCCCCCAGGGAAGGAGGGCACTGGGCGGGATCTCGGTTCACTGCAAGCTCTGCCTCCCGGGTTCACGCCATTCTCCTGCCTCAGCCTCCCGAGTAGCTGGGACTACAGGCTCCCACCACGACGCCCAACTAATTTTTTTGTATTTTTAGTAGAGACAGGGTTTCACCGTGTTAGTCAGGATGGTCTTAATCTCCTGACCTCATGATCTGCCTGTCTTGGCCTCCCAAAGTGCTGGGATTACAGGCGTGAGCCACAGCACCCGGCCACCACCATTACTTTCACTGCATTGGTCAAAAATGATTTTTCCTACTAACACGAAGCTCCTTAGTCCCGACAGCAGGGTTTTCATCAGTCATGTGTACTTCCCTGTGAAATAGTCTATCAAATCATTTCCACTTGTCAACTAGCTGACATCAGATTTTAATAGTGGCCAGTTTGAGAAAAAAAGCATAGTTGTTAGGAGTCAGGCGATGGAGGCTGCAGACATGGGGCGCCTGGAGGGTACCGCTCACACCTGGGTGCCGGCGAGGGGACCGCACATACCTGGGGAGGTGTGGGTGATGGGAGGCGAAGGCAGAACCTGCAAAGTCCCATTCAGTTGATCTGTTTCAAGAAAGCTTAAGTGGATCCTACAGCGCTTGGGATGAAATTCTCTCTTCCCCGGACCGGCATCCAACCACCTTACCACAGAACTGTCTCGCCATGTGGAGAGTTAGAGAAGAACATTAGAACATTAATCCGGGCAGTGCTGCTCCCAGCATATTACAGTAGGATGGGCAGGGGGCGAAGCTTGGTGAAGGAGGTGGGAAAGGAGCCCAGTGCACTCTTGATAAATACAAACAGAGCTGCCATGGCTCCGTGGGTGTAAATGGCCACAGCAGGACGGTGCTGCAAGACTTTCTCACGTGGGTTCCAGGGGGTTCAAAGAGCATTGGCAAAGCCACAATACTCTTCTATTTGGTCAAAAAGCAATGGGAAGAGAGTGTAGTGAACCTCAGCACCTGGGCTGCAGAAGCCTGTTAAACAAGCGCCATGGCCAGAATTCCTCCTGCTGCAGTACCTGGATACCTCCATGGGTGAAGTGCCATGCTCCGGTCCCGTGGGGAACATGGAAAGATCAAAGTCACCCTTGACACTTTAAAGCAAATTGTCAATGTATTGCATGTCCTCACTTCCTTGAGGACACAGAGAGCGCCAAGTTGGAGGACTCCGGTTACAGACGTACATAAAATGATATCTGCCATACAAGCATGGGCCAGGGTCAGATGCCTGGGGACCCAGTGGTCTACTGAACGTGCTTCCTGGAGCTCTGAGGGCAAAGCTTAGTTCCTTGTTTTGCATAAAGAGACTCTGTGTGTGATTTCACTTAAAAGATATTTCATTGCTTCAAAAAACATTTGATGGGAAAACGTGTCTAGAAAATTTCAGAGGAAGGTACTCTTTGGACTGGATTGGTACTAAAACCAACCAAACAAAAACCAATGGACATTTCAGCAGTTTCTATTTAAAAATTGACGCCAGGATTTGAAATATTACAGTCAGTGTTCCACATGAATTTTGCACTGGGTGGAGGAAGGTTGGACGATTTAGATTGCGTTCGCAGCTGTCATTGTGAAGCACCTCCGTAAACGACGTGTGAGTGTCGCTATCTAGAACCGGCATGAGGACCAAACGGAATTTAGGCACCATGTATTTTTTAAGGCTAATTGCCAATCTCTCTTTCATTTATTAAAAACCAAAGCTAAAATAATTCACTTACTGAGCATGTCTAATCTGCATGAAGCCTTTACTTCATTGGTCAAAGCTGCCTCTAGGCACGCATCTGAACCAGCCAACGCCCATTTAATGCCTTTTTGAATCTGTGCACACTTTCAGAATGTGGAAACAGTCTTCTCTGTATTCAGCCTGAAGTGGTAAAAGCTACGCCTGGGTCCTAACTCCCTTCTTATGTTTCTTATTTAAGTAACTTTACTTGTCTTTCATTCTTTTAGATACATACCCTCCTCCCACAGAAGGCAGGAAGATCAATACCTGCCTTTGCAGACCTGACACATCCGTGCCCATCTGAACCTTAGAAAGTGGCTCCACGAAGCCTGTGAGGGCTTTCATTTACCCAGGGGTGTATTTTATAGCTGATTCTCACTGGACAGCCCATTGGAACCAGCTACTCAAAAGCCAGATGCTTCAGTGAAGCCTTAACAAGGGGCTATTTTTTAAAATTATTATACTTTAAGTTTTAGGGTACATGTGCACAACGTGCAGGTTTGTTACATACGTATACATGTGCCATGTTGGTGTGCTGCACCCATTAACTGGTCATTTAGCATTAGGTATATCTCCTAATGCTATCCCTCCCCCCTCCCCCCACCCCACAACAGTCCCCGGTGTGTGATGTTCCCAACAAGGGGCTTTTATCATCATCATAGCCAATTAGTGATATCTGCTCTCATTCTTTCCTAAGTCAAATAACCTAATTCTTTTCTCTCTGTGGTGTGACATCCTGGTTTGGTTGCTTTTATTAGAAAGCAAGAAGTCTCTAAATCATTCTGTTTCCCTTTTTGCCTTGACTGCCAGGAAGCCCAGCATTTCATTCGATGCTCAGTTGCAATAGTCTTATTATCCCCAGATTTTTCCAGTCTACGTGGAAGTGTATTTCCATTGGCAGAACTTTATCTATGCCTTTTATGGCAATCCTGTGAAATTCTTTTTGGAAATAAGTAGGGTTTGAAAATGAAATAAAAGTCACTAAGTGTGTTTTTAATATTTGTTTTTTACTGTACAAATAGATTTTGATTGAGAAACTTTCAAGGTTGTTTAATATTAAATGTGATTTAAAAAAATTGTAGATGAAAATTGACCCCCAAATCTAGGAAATGTAGGAAAGCTTAAGTATCCTGAAGCAGAAACCCAGCCAGTGGTTCCACATCTGCTTCTCACCAGTGTTTCCTCATCTGGCCTTCTTCTATCATCTTACAAAGGTCCTGAGAAGAAAATCATATGCTAGTTCTTATTTTCAAGCAGTTGAAACTAAACCCATTAATTTTATGCAAAAAAACAAAAACAAAAACAGGTATTAGAAGTACACAGAGCACTCCTGGAGCGACCAGCTGGTGCCGCTGAGGAAGCCAGGAGGCTCCGGAAGGTTCCAGAGCTGCCTTGCAGCACAGTTAGGCAATGGCCTCCAACACCGCTGCTCACCCCTCTGCCTCAGTGGCTGGCGCAAGCTCTGCACACCCTTCCGAACAGCAGCAGGGCTGCAGGGAATGCTGCCTGCAGGTGGTGCTGTGCACACTTCTCGCCCGACTGCTAACTTGGTGCACCCTGTTCATTCCACAACTCACGCCCAGCTGCTGTATGCACACTCCCCTCCCGCCCGCTGAGTCAGTGTGCCCTGCGCGTTCCATCACGACTCATGCACACCTCCTGTGCACACTCCTCTCCCGATTGCTAACTGGGTGCACCGTGCGCGTTCCACAATGACTCATGCACACCTGCTGTGCATACTCCTCGCCCGACTGCTTACTCAGTTCTCCCTGTACATTCCATCACGACTCATGCACACCTGCTGAGCTCCAAAAACACACTGGGCAGCCTCTGTAACTGCCCCAGGCAGAAAGATGCTTTAGACTCTGAAGAGCCAGAAAATGATAAACATTTGTCCAATACAGCTGGAGACAGTCAGGAAGAAGGTGTGAAAGATCTAAAAAGAGCATGATCCTTGGAAAGACAATAGACATTTCAGACAAAGTAAAAATTGTAGATTACTTGGTAGACAGCTCCATTATGAAGCAGCCAGTGAAAGTTCTTGATATTGTGAATTAATCATTTGAGCATTTCCTAATTTTATTGCATTGATTGCTAATATTAAGTGAGGCATTAATGTATCATTCCCTCCAAAACAGTTGTTTAAAGTTGAGATAAGTTTAGAAAACATGGCATGTGTCTCTTTTCCTTGGGGGTTCTCAATGTGCGTTACCTCTAAGAAGTCTTACAGCAAAACAACCTGATACATTTATATAAAGCAAAATACCCCAAACTTTAAAAAATAAATATATATTACATGAAAGTTGATTTGGAAATTTTACTTTACTCCATTACACAGTTGAAGTGGCATGCCATGGATGCTTTGGCAGATTTAGGATTCTGAGATCTCTGAGTATATATCCCTTATGACTATCAAGGAGCTATACTGTAGAGAAGATCTACAAGAAAAAAGTCTACAAAATAACCGTAAAGTTTACATATACCTTGAATAACAATAAACCACATGCAGGCCTTTTGAATTCACTGGGATTGGAAGGGCTAAAGGCACTCCTAAAATTCCTAGAGAGCATTAGAGAGCATGCTTCATTGCACACATTCATGTTATTCTGATCACGTTATTCTGATCACATTATTCTGATCACAAGTTATTCTGATCACATGTTATTCTGATCACATGTTATTCTGATCACGTGTTTCACAACCAAGATGGGAAGCGGCTCCTCTGTCTCTGCTTGGGTTTGTAGTGTGCTTTTTTTTTTTTTTTTTTTTGCTTTTTGTTTTTAAATCTCTGAGCTCTTCCCATTTGCAGACACAGATTGGCCCATGTATTTCTCAAAGCAATTTTGGGGCAGAAACATTGTCCAGGGCCCTGTGTATTTGGTTGCACAGGGATCTGAGTCGGGGAAGCCCTGGGGACCCCAGGGCAGCTGGGCCTGTGTCAGTGACAAGTCCATCCTGACAGAGCCGCAGGTCTGAACCTCCCTCTGCACCCACTCCTCAGACGGGTCCTCACTCTCAGACCCTGCGCGAGAAGGGACTCCAGTCTCTTTCTTTCTTTTCTTTTCTGTTCTTTTCTTTCTTCCTTCCTTTCCTTTCTTTCTTTCTCTCTCTCTTTCCTTTCTTTCCTTCCTTCCTTTCCTTTTTCCTTCCTTCGTTTTTCTTTCCTTCCTTCTTTCTTTCTTCTTTTTTTGAGACAGTCTCGTTCTGTCACCAAGTCTGGAGTGCAATGGCATGATCTCAGCCCACTGCAACCTCCTCCTCCCGGGTTCAGGAGATTCTCCCGCCCCAGACTCCCGAGTAGCTGGGACTACAAGCACACACCACCACGCTGGACTAACTTTTGTATTTTTAGTAGAGATGGGGTTTCGTCATGTAGGCTAGGCTGGTCTTGAACTCTTGACCTCAAGTGATCCACCTGCCTGGGCCTCCCAAAGTGCTGGGATTATAGGTGTGAGCCCCCACACCCAGACACCAGTCTTTCAATATGTATGGCTAAGGGTGGCTTGCAAGCTGATTTTGGGTGGCATATGAAAAACTTTTAAACATGTATTAAATGCCATCTTATATTTTAATGGGAATTAGAACACTATAATGCAGGCACATCAAACTCACAAGCCTATGAATAATATAGTTAGAAAAATGCTAAGGAAGAAAGGAAGGGAGGGAAGGAGGGAGGGAGGAGGAGGAAACCAAGAGGCACAAACACAGCAGCAACAGAAAGTCGCTGTTTCCATCATGCTGAGAAAACCTAACACACATCATAGGAAGGTGATGGCCGGGGCAGAAACTGAAAATATGGAATTCAAATAACTACAACTGGGGGAAACTTATATTTGGTCGTACTTTTTTGATTCTGGAGCTTAGCTCTTCCCACTCTCCATGTTCCTTGCCTGTGACTTGGAGGAATCATCCAGAACGTGGTCCCACCCACATGCATGGACGGTCAGGCTTCTGCTGGTAGGGAGGCTGCTTCCTCCCAGTGTTCTTGGGCACCTGTGGCCCCACTGCCCTGGGAACACGGTGGGGAATGAACATGCTAGCCCCCAGGGCTGACCCGAAATGTCACCCTTGCCCTTTTGTGTGTGTGCATGCCTCCGTGTGAGTCCACAATCGAGTCTCTCTGCAAATGCTGGGCTGTCCTGTACCTCCTGCCCCGCCTCCATGTCTGAGCATTGCCCCTGTGGGAGGAATGAGACAGGGAGCGGCGTTTAGAGATTGCAGCTGGCAACACGGCTCTGAGCATCCCTAAAGCAGGGGCCAGGGTCTTCACGGCTGCTTTACCTAGGGGGGCAGCACGACCCAGTTGACAGGCAGAGGCCAGGCCCCCAGGTTGTGTTTCTGACTCTGCCCTCCCAGGAGGGGGCTCCAGGCTCTGGCTTCCAGCTCCCAGGCAGGTTCTTGTGGCTGGGACTGTCCCTGAGCCTCTCGGCAAGATGAGAGACTTTGCCTTTCCATCTCAATTGATTGTGAATTAAGGAACTTTGGAAATTTACCTCGATTGTAGTGGTCAGATTTTCCTATTTTTCTTAGCTGTATAATCTGCCTAAAAGTTTATCTTTACCTTCTTTTTGTTGTTGTTGTTGTTGTTTTTTGAGACGGCTGGAGTGCAGTGGCGTGATGTCAGCTCGCTGCAACCTCTGCCTCCCAGGTTCAAGCAATTCTCCCACCTCAGCCTCCCAAGTAGTAGCTGGGATTACAGGTGTGTGTTACCATACCTGGCTAGTTTTTGTATTTTCAGTAGAAACAGGGTTTCACCATGTTGGCCAGGCTGGTCTTGAACTCCTGACCTCAGGTGATTGGCTCACCTCAGCCTCCCAAAGTGCTGGGATTACAGGTGTGAACCACCATGCCTGGCCCACCTTTACCTTCTACAATGCCCAGGGCACTACAGTCTCACACACTCCTCTATTCTCTTGCTCTCCAAATTGGGATCCCATCATTTTACACCACTGATTCTTCTCTCATGAAGTGCAACATTTCAAATCTTTGGATTTCAGAAAAAACAATGCCTTCTAAATTGAATATATGATATCTATAGAATAAACTAATTTGTTCCCTAGCTCCATTGAATCAGAAGCATTTTATACAGTGGCCTTTTGATAAAAAATTGCTAAAAGAAACAAAACCAAAAATTGGCAAATGGGACCTAATTAAACTAAAGAGCTTCTGCGCAGCAAAAGAAGCCATCAACAGAGCAACAGACAACCTACGGATTGGGAGAAAATATTTGCAAACCATGTATCTGACAAAGGTTCAGAATCTATAAGGAACCTAAATAAATCAACAAGCAAAAAACAAACAACCCTATTAAAAAATGGGCAAAGGACATGATCAAACACGTTCTCTAAAGAAGACAAACATGCGATCCACAAGCATGTGAAAAACATTGAACGTGACTAATCATTAGAGAAATGCAAATCAAAATCACCATGCAATACCATCTCATACCAGTCAGAATGGCTATGACAAAAAGTCAGAAGGTATCAGATGCTGGCAAAGCTATGGAAAAAAGAGAATGCTTATACACTGTTAGTGGGAATGTAAATTAGCTCAGCCAACTTTTCCAAAGACCTAAAACAGAACTACCATTCAACCCAGCAGTCACATTCCTGGGGGTATACCCACCCCCCACCAAATAAATTGTTCTGCTTAAAAGACACATGCACTTATATGTTCATCGCAGCACTATTCACAATAGCAAAGGCATGGAATCAATCTAGTGCCTATTGATGGTGGATTGGATAAAGAAAATGAGGTCCACATACACTGTGGAATATAATGCAGCCATGAAAAAGAATAAAATCATGTTCTTTGCAGCAACATGGATGCAGCTAGAGGCTGTTACCCTGAGAAAATTAACAGAGGAATAGAAAACCAAATACCACATGTTCTCACTTATAAGTGGGAGGTAAACACTGAGTATTCATGGACACAGGTATGGGAACAACACACACTGGGAACACTAGAAGGGTCCGGAGAAGAACAAGGATTGAAAAACTGCCAGGTACTATGCTCACTCCCTGGCTGAGAAGATCCTATACCAAACCTCAGCGACACCCAATTTATTCAGGGAAGAAACTCACACATGTTAACTGAATCTGAAATAAAAGTTGAGTATCCCCTGAATCTAAAATAAAAGTGGAAAAAAATAGGTTAACTTGTAGATGGCAAAAAAAATTGCCAAAAGAGAAATCTAGGGGCAGTCTTTATTTGAATATTTAGCAGAGTAATCGGTATTGTCTCATGGATGATGGGGTGAAATGGGACATTATTTCTACTTTGGCCCACACTGCAGGAGCATGCGGGGGCCTCTGGGCCCCTGGACACGTGGAAACCCTGTGGCAAAACATTTGGAGGAGCAGGAAGCTCACTCAAGGCAAATTTGGGGGCAGCAACTAATATCATATGGAAAAAGAAGAGGAGCTGGTATAAAAGACGTTTATTAACGTGTGTGCCCGATGTCCTGGCGCCACTGGCTCGCTGCAGTGCTTCTGTCTGGAAGGTTTTCAGAAAGCAAAGGCACCCACCTCCTCTCCCTGCACAAAGCCGCTTTGAATGTGCATCTTCCCACTGCTCGGATGAAGATGATTTCAAAAATGGGAATTCAATTGTGGAACTTTATGAGGAAGAATACAGTTAACATAACTGAAAACAAGGCCAGCACTCGCTTGAAGGAAATGCAGGAAGAGATTAATTTGACAAACCTGCATCTCCAGCTCAAGTTTGGCCTTCCTCTGCTTGAGGGGATGTCAGCAGAAAGAAGGGCCCTGGCCCCAGCAGAGAAGTTAATTCATCATCATCAAAATTATGTAAATAATTCAAGTCACTTTTTAAAAATAAAGCTATAAAGAGAAGAATACAAACCAAAATATTGCAAGAGGTGACATTTTGCTGTATGTGTTCAGATAAGACCAAACGAATGTTGACGTTGACATAAAATAATTCAGAAAGAACAAGTATCAAACACAGACTTTAAAAGTACCACCTTACTGTCAGCGTGTTTTCTATATTTTCCCAAGTAGCTTTCACCTAGTGGGATTCTATTTATACTGAATTAGGTGGGCTTGCTGTGTGCATACACATCACAGGGAGTGCAAAGACACACACACGCTGGACACATTAGTGTTAGGTACACAGATTGCAAGTGATTTCTGTTGGAAGTCAATTGGGACTTTGCACAGGAAGGTATTTTACACATAAAGAATTTTATGCATTATTGCAACGGCAGCAAAGCTCACAAAAGCCCATTTAAGCCAAATGTACAGAGGGCCTTGTGTGGCCTCAGTGTCACATACAATATTATCTCAATGATGTGTCTGTTCTGGACTGAGCTCTGGATCTCAGGGACACAGCATTTGTGCTTTCATCTACCCTCAGCCTTGGCCTCATCCCAGCCCTTGGTCAGTGCTCCTGGGGTCCACAGGACTGACTGGAGAGGGGTCCAGAGAAATCGTCTCCATCTGCCCCCTTGTCGAAGTTCAGCGGCATGAGAGCACCCCTCATTCCTGGTGATCAGAGATTGATACTTACTGGCTCATTGCTAATAAAATGCCACCAAGAATCGGGGATTTGTTTACTATATTTAAAGGTTTAAAATGTTTAACTATCAGAAGTCCTACCTGTGAGTGTTTATGTAAAACGACTTTATAAGTAAGATTGGGAACAGATGGGAAGAGCTATTTTAGTCAGTTGGTGTGTCATGAAATTGTGTAGACTCTATTTCACTGTAAACCCTTCGTTACACTGTGGGGGTGCTACAACGTTACAACATGTTTTCTTGGGAGGGTCGCACTTATTTAACCTTTAAATTGACATTTGGGGCACTGGTCACTTAGAGTGAGTTCAAATGTCCTGGCTATTATTGTGCATGCAGATTTATTTCTGTAATCTACTTTTCATTCACTGACTTACTGAGGTTAAAATAGAACATGCACATTTACCTGTGGCTTCAATTCCACTTTGTTTTACCAGCACTGACTCTGAATCAGTTAATCTAAGAAGTGACTTCTTGTTTATGCAGGCAAGTGGATGAAAGTATCCTCTACACAAACACACAGGGGCACACAAGGGAACGCAGTAGGTCCTCATTGTAAATCTACATGCCCGGTAACCCAAAGCATGAGTATCAACCTGATAAGCACACTTTGTAATTTTCAAATTTAGTTCCGGGTTTTATCGAATGAATAATGTGCTGTATTTCATTCCGTTTCTTGGTAGCACATCAACTTCCTATTTTTTCTATTCTTCTCTTGGGAAATAGAATGAAAAATTCCCTCACCCCTCGTCTTAATTCATTGCATTCCTTAAAGATTTTTACCTTGTGCTGTGATTAATAATTATTTTGGAATTCAATGTACTTATTATATAGATATCTGAAAAATGAAGACGTTTGCCTATCTGAATCTAGTTCAACGACCTCTGCAGTTTCCTTTAACCCTCAAATCAAAAACGTGTATTACTTAAGCAAGCAAAAGCACAGTGGAGTGTGCCTATACATACGTGTATATTTACCCATATTCATATACATGTGTACACACACACATACACGCACACACAGGTGTGCACATACACACTAAGGTGTCCTATATTCATATTCATGTGTACACATGCACATACACACACATGCACACACAGGTGTGGACAACACATGTCACTAAGGTGTGAGCTGGGCTGCACGCTATTCAGTATCTCCCTGGAAACGGGAGCGCATGCCCCTTCTCAGAAGGCCCTTGTGTGTCATGGTCCTATGATGTAGCTTTTACGGCCACTGCTAACACACTGTTTCTGAGACTTCTGTTTTAACAGCAACATGGAAGAGCTTCCAGCAGTGTCTTTTCTAAGTGGCGATTCGCTCTACATTGCCCAGAGAACATCTGCTCCTGAGTTTTGTGCTCCTGTCCTCTGGGGACCTGAGCTCTCCCCGTGGCCTTTCTGAACCCACCTGTTCAATCCTGCTCCAGGGCCTTGGTCCCTTCTTAAGCAAAGAACAGCCGGTGGGGCCGGAGGGACCAGGCTCTGATTCAGGCTTGCTCTCACCATCTCGCTTTCTTCGGTAGCCACTTGCATTCTTTGGGCCTCACTTCCCTCATCCAGGAGATAGAGACACAGTTTAGTTGATGGTGTCTTAGGTCCTTTTTACCTCCCCATAAGAGAGTTATGAAGCAGACCTTATCAAACCTGGGAAAAGAACTGTCAGCGAGAAGTGAGAACGGTCCGCTTGCCACCTGCACAGGGGACAGCAGCCCTTCTTAGAATCACCACGGTTCTCTCCATCTTTAATGAGAAATGGGCACCTTCCAAAGGGCCAGGAAGGGAGAAATCAAAAGGTGGAATGAAATAAAACTACTTACCTTCTAACCACCCTGTTAGAGGGCACCACGTGGCAAAGACATCAAGGGGAACCTAATCAGAGGTTAGTTCAATTCCAAAAGTATTTCTCACCCTGGAGACGTGATGGTTTTCTAGCAGTGATGCTACAGGGATGAAGGTGGGATTTATGAATTTTCTGGCCCTTATTGAGGTAGAGATAATGTTTCTGGGAAAAGGGCACTGATACCCTAACCGTAAGCTTTAGTTTTCAGAAAATGTTTCCGAAGGTGAATTTCTGTGGTTTTCTCTCTGTCATGGGCTGAATGGTGTTCCCCCAAAATTCATGCATTTAAGTCCTGACCTGTGGTGCCTCACAGTGTGACCATATTTGAAGATGGGGTCTTTAAAGAGGTGCGCAAGGTAAAATGAAGCTGAAAACATACAGCTGAAAAGCGTGCAGCCAAGATTAAAAGCACATGCATGTGCCTGTGTGTCCTCAGGACTGGGGCTTTTTCTGCTGCTGGCTTTTCAGCTGCACCCATCTCTGCATCTGGCCCATACAGAACCATGAGGTGCACAATTCTTGCCTGGCTAATTATTCTAACTGTAAAGAGCTGTTATCTGTGTCCTGGTGGTGTCGAAGGACACTCTCACAGGATCAGGTGAAAGCACTCTTCTCCCTGAGAGGTCAGGGCACATAGCCTGCCTGGTTTATCTTCGTTCCCAAGGGACAGATGCACCAAGCCCCCAAAAGCATCTCCATCAGAGCCAGTCCCCCAAACCCCAGCAGCCTCGGAGGCTCCTTGTGTGCGCAGCAGCAGGAGGGCCTGCCTGTCATCCTGGGTCCCCGACAGAAAGTGATGATGCTCCTCATTTCCATGGCCAGGGTCCCACTGTGCTCTCTGCCTCAGTGAGCCACAGCCTGGTGGGGTCCTGGAAGAGCTTCAGGTCCCATAGAGCAATAAAAGAAGAACCAGAGGAAAGAATAAATTGGTCTGGAAGTTCCATATTCAAAATGGGGGACCCTAGCCACGTCTACCCTTTGTGGGAGAGAGGATGTAACCTAGGGTGGGGGCCACAGAACTTTAATAAGCAGGGGTGTCGTAGGGAGAATGTGGACAGCCACAATGCCTGATGAGGGGCCACAGGTACTTGCTCTAACCTCTCCACGCCAACGCTGTAAAATGAAGACAATAAATGTCACTGCCTTGTAGTGTTGTTGGGAGGATTAAATGAGGCAATGCACATGAAGCTGTTAGGACAGGATAAGGGCTCAGTAAATATTAGTTATTAATCTTTAGTTCCTATTGCCTAAGGGCCAAACGGACAATCAGTTAAACAGACGCACTGCACTGATTCACACCTGACTGAGCGCATGGACCCTGCAGAGAAGGAAAGTCCCAACCAGATGAACCTGCCAGGACATGTCCTCCCTGCATCGTGCTAACCTCAGGGGCCGCGTTAACGTGCTGTAAAATAGATACATCCAATCTCATGAATTTTTAGTGAATATATTTTGCCTGGAATGTGAGTAAAGGGGCACGTCCCTGACTCCTGAACCGGAGTGGTCTCGCGATGTCACATGGCTGTGGCACACACGCGGTTCTATTTATTTCTTCTCCATCATGGGTAGGGGGGCCTCTTTCTGACATGAGCCCAGACTAGAATGTCATTCCTTCTTGCAAAAATACATCAGAATAAATCACATGTCACCGCTTCAGAGTCACATGAAAAACACTCGCAAGTGAGTCCTGCAGCCCAGAGGAAGAGACGCCCAGGACTCTGCGGTGGGGGAAGACCCCCTCCCCGCGCCGGGAAGAGACGTCCAGGACCCTGAAGCAGGGAAAGCCCCCCACCACCCAGAAGAGACGCCCAGGACCCCACAGCGGGGGAATTACCCACCCACCCGGGGCAACACCCGAGAGAGCAGGGAGCAAAGACATTCACTTCCAGGACAGAAGGCCACGCTGCCGCACTCGTATCCGAAGTTTGAATGTCCTCAGCCGCAGATGCGTTTTTTGTTATGAGTGACAAGAACGCTGACACAAGACACTAACCTTTCTAGAGGTGCGGGTGAAGCTATCCTGGGAAACACTAAGGAATCAGCTCATCCCGAACCGAAGGAAGGTGAGAAGTCCCAGGGAGAGAGGCATGAAGGCCATTTCTTCAGCCACACTGGACTACGGATAAAATGTTTTCATAGTCAAGAGTACAGGGGCTAACCCCAGAATTCTACTGTGTTTATCAGTGATTACGCATAAATATGTACAAACAGTATACAGCATTCAATCTGTTGACTGATTTCCATTTTAGCAACTCGCATTTTTAGTTTCCCTGATGTTCAAGTTTTGAGGTATTACTAAATACTATTACGGGTAAGGATCTCTGCCCAACTGCTGCAGCCAATATTCCTGTGGCCAAAAATGAGCAGAGCCTAGGCAAGTAGCACATATGACAGAATTTTATTTATTCTCTACAGTGCGGTTGGGTGTAGCCTCTACATATGTCTCCTGCTTACTTAGTGTGTATGAGAGAAAAGGAACAGACGATAGATTGTTTAGATTCTAGGTGATAGATGACAGATCAGTAAGGTAGATGGTAGATAGTTGGATGATGGGTGATTGATATGATTCCAAAGTTATCTAATAAGATAAGACCAAGAGACATGCTGTCTACATAGAAACAAGGGACCATTCACTCTCGGTGACTGTCGCCTTTTCCGTTCCCTATCCGATATCCACAGTATTGAGTGGACGTGGTGCTGCCAGCACCTTCTGTGACTCTATGGATGACTCTGTAAATCGTGTGAGACAGATGAGTGTGTATCCTGCTTCACATGACCGACCTCCAGGCAAAGAGATGCCGTCCTTGGTCACGAACGAGGCCATGCTCTGTTGAGAGTCAGAGTCCTCGGTTTCCCCAGCTGCCTGGATTTTTCATGAGATAGGCAGGCAGCACTTGCCCTGAGCTGCAAGAAGCCAGAGGGTCCTGGGCCCTGGGCAGTGCCTGGCTCTCCGTAGATGGGGAGCTGGGGACCTGCTTGCAGGTGAGGGAGACTGGAGAGCAGCTGTGCATTCAGGAGGGAGGAGTGTGGGGAGGAGTGTGTGCATCCCAGTGAGACCTCAGGGGCTCACGCTGGAAGCACAGCAGAGGGGCCAGGGAGAGGGCCCGGGGAAGGACAGCGAGGGCGCCCATCTTCAACAGAGACCACGGAGAAGGCAAACCACATTCAGACTTGCTCTCTGGCGTTTTTAGAACATGTTCTAGAGCTTCTGTTCCTGCTTAATCTCTACCATGTAGCACAGTGACTGACAACGAAAGGTGTTCAGTAAATGTTTGCTGAATGGACAGACTCCAATTTACATAACTGTGGCTTAAAAATAAACCCGACAGGGCGCTTTGTAAATGTACAATGTAAATCTGATAATAAATTCTACAACAAGCATGTATTCGTGGTATGCGGCGAGACAATCTCTATGCTGGTTTCTGGGAGCCCAGAGATGTGGATTTTGGCCCCCATTCTTGAGAAATCCCAACAAAGGAGGAAGCACCACCAGCACCCACACCTGCGGGGAGCCCCGCAGAGCAAAACCAAGGAAGATGTCTTCTCTGCTCGTCTCGTCACCCCAAAGGTGGTCATGGAAGCCACCTCCAAACCCTACTCCACGCTGAGTGCTGCCCTGTGTAAAAGACGACAGCTCAGCCCATCTCTCCACAGCCTCCCCCGAAAATGTTCCCCTCTCCCAGAGAGTTCCGATTATTTAAGAAATTCTTATTACAAAAACGCAATCAGTTTTCTCAGTGGGTTTTAATTGAGTAGCTATTATGTTTTGATATTGTAGAAAGAATAGAAATGTTCAAACTTAAAGGGGTTTACATTTTAACGGTTTAGTTTTACAAAGAACTTTCATTTGATATAATAAAGGAAATACAATAGAAATCTATTTTTGTAAGCCCATCTGATGATAATTTATATATATATATAGTGTTGAGATCACGGAAGGTTATTTTTGTTCCCTGTTCGGATTTCATGTGTGTGCCTCTGTATCTCCATAAACAATAGAAGCTCAGGAGGAAGGGCCGCGTCCACTCCTTTTGCTCATGTCATTGTGATGCCTCACTCTTTGCCTGTCTCACGGTAGGCACTGGAGATAGATTTACACATGAATAAATAAATAAATAAGACTCATGCCCAATACAGTTTTTGTCTAAAGACACATATAATGTTTAAGGCAAAATTGCAAACAGAGCAGAATTGGATAGCACGCACCATACTTTAAAATCAAGTGTTCTTTCTGTATTGGTAGCCACATAAAGCAAAATGCAAGAAAGATGAACTTTAATCAGGCACAGGAAGAGACTTGGAAGTTATTCTTTGTCTCTCTTTCCATTAAAATCCCTTCCTTCACACCAATGTGGTTGTTGTTTCTCTTTTATGATGTAAGAAGATAGATTTTTTTTATTAGTGGCAATGACAAAAAGATTTATTTCAGTTGGTGTAAAATATGCACAAAGGGAGACTTTAAACAATGATGTTTTGCAATTTTTACAATTAAGCAATTAGTGTTTCTCTCCATACTCTAAAACACAGTCACAAACCAACATTCTTTTTCATTGCCTCCCAAAGAATTTGTGCTCTCAGAGGTTTAGTGAAGATTTCTTTCTCTACATGATTTTTGTAATGTTTATATTAGACTGCTGCTGTTCTAGAGCTGGGGAGTCTTTTAATATTTCAACTTTCTCTATTTGAATAAACGCTTTTGTGCTTTACCTCTTGAGTCTGTCATCCCTCTACGTCGTGTGCATATATTAGACATCTGCACAAACACACAAGTGCACATGTTAACGGCATGCCTTCTATTCATTACCCACATACAAGAGCCCCTGTCATGATTTAACTTCCCTGAAGCAAAAATTTGATTAAAAACTCAGGTGATTACATAAAATTATATGAACTCTCACATTTGTTATACTTAAAAACAAAGAACCTTAACTTCCTAAATGGCTAATAAATATTTCCCTGCAGGTCAGTCAGTGCTGAATATATACCCATCTTTAGTTCCTGAGAGTGAAACAGTATAAGGATGTTGGAATAATGCTTTGCTACACATCAAAGCTATTATACTTCTAGAGGCAACAGCTTTTGCTCTCAGTTCAGTATCACTCAGGGCTGTCAAAGTTTCTACATTCCTCATGCTACTGTCTTGGAGTTTTTTCAAAAGCTACTGCTTATCCTAGTACTTTTCCTAGAACTCCAACAATGATGTTTATCTCAAAATTATTTCTTCTTCAGAAAAAATTGGCATAGAATTCTGAGAATTTTCAAAATTTCTCCTTGAGCCATGTATTTTGGATTGAAAACTCTGTTAGAATTCTTTGAGAGCCTGGATAGTCCTTTAAAAAGGTTATCTGTAGTAGTAACATTTAGAATTGAAGCATGAATAAAATATCTTTGTGTCTGTGGTTAAATTAGGCTACCTATGTTTTTCTTTACCTAAGGAATAGTAAAAGGTATTGTTTTTTAATAAAACAAATCATTTGTAGATCCCCAAATTTATAAAAACAATGTCCTTTTTAATTGTACACATCAGATAGTGTCTGAGCTTGTATATACTTTACATTTCTGTCCTCAGTCCTGAACACAGTCTAACACAAAGAGGGCAGGTACTTCCTTAAAGAATGTGGCTATTTTCACAGCTATAAGCCCAATGCAAGCACAGCATCTGCTCCAGACAGGGATGAGTGAACCCAGCCAGACTTGGGGTTTGGAGGAGGTCAGAATCTATTCTACTGATGTTTCTGTCATGTTTATTAAATTGCATTTTTTTCCCAAATGCAATTACACTTTTAGGAAATATTGCAATTATTTTAAAGAGAGGACATTTTTATACTTCCGGTGGACTTAAACTAATAAAACCTGCTTTTTGTTTAATCATTATCAGCGCCCTAGGTATATGCTTTGAGCTCTCCTGCTATGGGTCTCAAGTCCTGCTTCTTAGCAACAGTAAGGACCCTCTACTCGTTTGTTTTTAGCCATAAGAAGAGATTTGACTTGGGTTAGCATTTTCAGGTAGGAGGAGGCTCCAGTTTCTGAGAACTGAGCTCCCCATCCTATTTTAATACCACCTTTGAGAAGACGTATTTGAGAAATCACATCAGACATTAGGGAAATGATGAGGCAGAGCTTCTGTCTGTCGGCAGTGGGAAACAAGAATCAAAGACTTCATCTCAAATAAATGGAGCAGCACAGATTAATTAAATCGATAAATTCTCCAAAGCACATCCTGGTTAAGGGGTTTAAAGGAATTCTTTCCATTATGTGCAAATCACCTGAAGGTGTTGAGCTATCATTTGGGCATAAGATTCACTCCATCTATTAGAGGCCCTAGAGAAGTGGGTTTACAAATAGATTCTGAGCAATGTTCATTTTATTTATGATCCAAATGGCAAAACAACAGCCACAGAGAGAAACCTGGATCTGTTTTGCAAATGAGTGATCTGTTGCTGGCACCGTTAAAAAGACGTGCAGTGATGAACGTGGCCAGATTTGAGTTAGAGATCCGTAGGAGTGAGACGGTACTTAACACCAAAAATAATAACTGCCCCCTTTCACCTTTGCATCCCCACTGCTGGGTTTCTCTTTCTGATCCGTGGGAGATTTTGCTTGTACACAGTGTGGCCCTCTTCCGCGTGAGGCTTCAGCTGGTGTGACCATTTGCATCAGAACTGAATTAGCTGTTTAGTTACACAAACACGAGGGTCCTAGTTGCCCTCTGCCTTGGAAGCAGCTCAACGAAGCCACCTGAATGCCACAATTTTAAGTGTACACAGCTGAAAAAACTTTCAAAAATTTCACCTCTTAGAGAGTTGAAATAAATTTCCTTAAAATCTAAGTCACCTGAGCATTTATATCATCTTTCTCTTCGAACTTAAGCACACATGTTACTCTTCTTTTTTTATAGGAATGCATGATTTATTGGACACTATTTCTTAAGTATAAAATCCCCTCCTTAATATAAATATGGAATTTAGATGATCTGTTCTGCTATGTTTTCAGATTAAAAAACTGAACGTTAACTATTGATCATTTTTGTAATTTAAAACAGATGATACTAAATTCCAATATATATGTATTTTATAACCCAAAGAGGACTTACCAGACATTTTCCTGCCAGAAACTAGATACTAACTGTATTCATTCACCATCAATAAAATAATACAATGTAATTATTTTGCTGCTCTTCCTACTCAATACCTATGACTAGAATAAAAGGTGATTAAATATCCACAGTGCATATGGAGGGCCTGGGAAATTCAGATTAACTCTTTATTTCCAAATATAGATCGTTCTTCAGAAAAGTCTGCTATCTTTGCAAATGACCAAATTTTAGGGGCTGGAGGGAGATTGTGGATCTCTTGAAAAGCAAACATGTCAGTTTCTAAGTTGCTAATATTTGGATGTGGTTTCCGGGAAAATGGATTCACTCATAAACTTGCAGATGGAGATTCAGGGCCTACGAGCCCTGTTTGCTAGGGCGTTGCTTAAACAATGTCAGGCAAGCAATCAGATAAAATAGCCCCGTCCTCCATTCCTTTTAAATCAAATAAACGAGTAAATAAAAGCCCAATTTTAATTGCTGAACAGGGATGTCTTGATACTAAGACAGTAACATATGCAAGCAGAGAGGAGTTCTGGCTCCAAGGTCCTAAATTTCTCAATGTTCCCTTCCCTTCCTGTTTTCTAAAGTCTCACCAGAGCACGTTAGCTGTCCCTGTGAACCAAAAATTTTATAAGCATTGTTTCTTCTCTTTTTGAATGTAATGTCTCTATTTGATATTGGTATGTTCTTAATTGAGTTATATCAAAAGCTAGGAATAAACAATCGCCTTTGAAAAATCAAGTATTAAGCAGCCTCTGTTTCTCTGAGTGGAGAAAAAACTTTTAATTGTACAGATAGAGGTTAATTTAGTTTCATTCTATTTGCAAATACTTAACAACACGAATCAGGTTCTCGGCCACACACCAGGCAGAGTGCAGCCCCTGCTGCTTTTCTTGAGCTATCCTAACCACAGAGACGGCATCAACACACAGTAGTTTGAATATTCTGTGAAGGGCAGCCAGGCTTTTCATAGTTCACTTGGCATTCATTCACCTTTATTCGTATATTCGGTTTCAAAATGGCAATAAGCACTTATAAAGTCTTGCTTACAATGTGGAAAATTATCCTTTTAGAAATCTTGTGAGCTAGTAATTAAGAACCAAATTTAAAACTGCAATATCTGTTTTGATATAATATTTTTAAATGATGAGAAACAGAGTATTACAATAATTTTGGTTTTAGGAGTTGTTCAAAATTGTTCATATTGCAAAAATACTGACATTCATTTTCTACTATTTTGGAAAAAGAAGTAGGGGGTATAAAAATTGCTCAAATGTTTCAGCTGCTTTTACCGTGTATATACATATACATACATACATAGTAATATACATGTATATATATAATATGTATGTGTGTATATATATCATACTATACAGATGTATAGTTTTAAAATTGAACATTAAATGCTTTTAGGGCATAAGTTATCTTTTCATGCCTCAAAAAAAAAAAAAAAATTTCCTTTTCTATGTTTCCTTACGTAATGCGCTTCTGAGATGGTTCTTCTGCAGGAACCGAGTCACCCCTGTTTAGATATGGATACACGAATCCCATATTTTTATTCTACATTCAAACTCGCACGTCATATCTAATGCCCTTGAAGCAATCTCCAATTACTGTTATTACATGGGTCACTAGAAACCAGAGGCACTGATACAAAATTTTTAAAAAGAGAAAGGGGGAAAAAAAGCACCACACAATTAGGTGCTGGTTAACGGTTGAATCAATTTGATTTTATCAGTAAATCCAGCCCTTCCTCTTGAGCTGTCAGTGAGCGAGATAAGCGGAGGATGTGGGGCTCCGGCCGGCGGTGCAGGACTGTGTCCCTGGCCAGCCAGGGTGACACCGGCGGGGACGACTGTAGCATTGCAGGGGCTGCGGAGCCCACGGCCGCTCTGCCCTCATCCTCAGCACAATCTTTCTATTTCATTAATTTTTCATGGATTTTCATTTCACAGCAAGCCGGCGTCTGCCATCCATCTGCTCGACTTATTTTGTTCCTTTTGCCAACTTTTTATTTGCATTTCACAACATTCAGCAACCTGCCCGTTCTCCACACCTTCCCATGAGTCATGGCTTTACTTTTATAGAGCTACCTCGTGCTCAAAATGTATTTTCAAGTTTCTAAAACTCTGTATAACCAACCACTCTAGAACAATACCTAAATTTCAAGATAACTTATTTTGCTGTCAAATGCCTCAAAGAGGTGTCCTGTGCCAAAGCTCAAATGCAACCCGACCGGCCCCGGATGATTGCGGATCCTGCATGGCCAGTCACCCCTGAAGCCCCTTCCCCTTTCCACTCTGTGAAGATTGACACGCCGCTTCTAAAACCCCAGCCTCCAATGTACCTTGTGGAATCAGCTGATTTTGGATTGGCCCTCAATCTATTTCCAAATATGTTTGCCTTGAAACAGCCTTTTTCAAAGAAAAATTCTGGAAACTTCAGTCATTTTACACATTGTACACAGTAATGGGTAGAAGATTAAAAATATTTCATTTGCAAAATGCCTTTCATGCCAATGCATAGCTTCTTTTAGAAAAAAAAATACATTCACAAAAGAGAGAAAAACAGATAGACAAAGCAGAATATATGCACTGTTTTAATAACTAAAAACATTTAAGAAATTCCTCATACATACTACCCTGAAGTTATTCCAGGGTTCAGAGAATTATTGGCATATTTTAAAGTGATTTATTTTTATATACTCTACTGTTTTGTTGAGTTCTGCCTCTTAATCTACCTGGTTGAACGGATATTAACAAAAAAAACCCTTTTTCTTTATTATTTTTTGGTTAAAGTGTATCCTTTTTTAATACGTACACATTGAGCTATTTTCTAATACAGGCAGATATTACTCTATATAACCACATAATATGGATTTTGTTGTACATAATTACCAAGAACTATAAAATAAAGTGCAATCTCCTGGTACTGTGTGAGAAATGAACTCCAGGGGTATTTAGTGATGGCAGGTAACAGTCTCCATAACCTCCAAGTGCTACTATTTTCCGAACGCCTCTGAGTGAGGCAGGCGCGGGACACACTGACGTGTCTGGCATGTGTCATGGGATATGAACGTTGCTTTGCCGCGATGTAAAAATGAGAGAGATTTTCCCTGTCCTTCTCATAGTTTTTTTTTTTTCAGCAGCTTGTTTTTCTCTTATATGAGAGTCAAATTTTGGCATTTTTCATTTACATAAAAAATTTAAACCATTTATGAATAATTTCTAAAAGAAAGTCCCTGCTGAAAAATAACACAGAAAACACAAAATTGTACAACACTAGGTCCCAGTAAAATAACAGAAGTAGGATTGATGTGTGGGGAGACATATTCTGAGAACCTTCTTTAAAGTTTATTTGAGAGAGAAATACAGGTTCCTGCCAAATAATACCTGAAAGTCATATTCTGTGACGAAGGTGTTTTTTTTTTTTTTTTTTTTAAAGATACATACAGCTGCCTTTGTGGCATAGTAACTAAAATATAACTTCTACAGAAAAAAATATCATTTCCAAGACTATGGATTATACTTAATGAAAGTATTGTGTCCTGACCACCCTTCAGTGGTAGCCCCGGCATGCTTTATTTCAGAGCTCACAGATCATTTTGATAAGAAGCATATCATGCCAAAGTCACTCTCAGAGTCACACATAGAAAAGGAGCCAGATGTCACCACACTGGGAAATTAAAGTTATCATGCATCTTCAAAAATGATTCTTGTCCCTTAGACTAGGTAGAAATACGCATCTGACAGGCAACAGGGTCAGCATGTATCTTAATTGTCTTTATTCCCCCATAAGAACAGCCCTTACCTTGTGCTTCTGTCAGTGTCTTCAGTTAGCACCTAATAGAGCCACACTAAATTCCTTAACAGTCTCTCATACACACGTGGATTTTAAATTGTGGCAAGTATAGAGTTTTAATATCAGATAAGCTTAAAATTGAGGTTATTCTATTCATTTATGGTTGTTAAGATTCATGACAATTAGAACATAATTTAAACTCACCATTGTTTTTATAAAATAAAAAATATCAGCATCTGTAATAACTAGGTATCATAGATGAAGTAATCAATTCCCAGGAAAATGCAAATAATTATTTAATGTGTCTCTTAGCTGGTTACTTTACCTTTTAATTTGATCAGTTACATCTACATGGTTAACGTTTCCCCAAAAATTGAATCTTTAGCCGTTTGATTTGACTTTCCTATCAAGATAGCTGCCGGCAGGTGCCCTGGGAAATTCTCCCGCACGCCAGAAATCTCTTCGTAACAGAAATCAGTGTACAAAACCTGAATGCCCTTTCCCGCTTCAATTTTTGGCTATGAAAATTAAGGGACTTGACATATTCAAAATAACCAAGGTATGGAAATATTTGCTATAGGAGTTTTATTTTGAATTGCTAAAGTTAAGTTTATAGCAAATGAAGTCTTTCCCCAGATTTCCTTTTTCCCCCTAAATTGAATACTTTCTAAGCTAGCATGACTGACGCTTCCTGGCAAGGCAAGTGAATTTGGAGAAAGGCAACACTTTCCTCCTGTTTATATTTATAAAATGCATTATTGCGAACTATTACTCCACATTCTTCAACTCTAAATATTTAAATAGACTAATCAAAAAATATTGGGAAATGTGAACATTTCAAGTGTAAAGATGATGCTTCCTTTTTCCTCTTTTAAAAGTCATATTCATTATTCAATCCGGTGACTTTCTCAATATCAATGCCACTTTGTGTTGGCATTATCTTTGGAGGACACTAACAGGTCTGTTTCAAAATGATAATTTCAAACAACAAAGTGAATCGCAAGCGCACACTTAGCAGCTGAGAGGTAAATGAGAACCACAACATCACCTCCCTTCTGAAACCAAAGGCTCCAAAACCTTTTGAGGAAGTTGTGGGGGCCAATCCCTCCCAGTGGTCCTGACGTTCGGTCATAATGAATGACTGTTTGCTATTGACATTTATGCCTGCTGACTGTCTGGATAATTTCTATTATTGGAAGAGGCAATAAAGGACCTGGTGACGGTTCGAGGGCACACAGGAAACGGTCTGGTAGAAACTTATCTTAGGCCAATGCAAAGATGAAAATTCTTCAGGAAAGATGGACAACCCCAAACACACCTAACGTTGCCTCCTGCTTTCAAACAACTGGCAAAGCTGATCAATTCTAGCTGTGTTTTTCCAACCGTTCTTTATACTTCTACCTCACTTAAAAAAAATCAGCACATTTCAAATCATGATTAGAACTGAACTTTCTCCTGCAGGCTCACTAGGAACTGACAATAACACAGGTTCCTCTAGGAGAGAAGGGTCGGCATGAGAAGAATCTTTTAATTCTTCCTGGCATGCACACAGGCTACGATGGCACTGGGGGCATTGCTCTCATATTGGAGCGATTGCTAATTTTGCAAAATCCCCAGTGTGAAAGCCCTCCCTTGCTGTAGCATTGACTAACTTCAGCGCGGCCCAGCCCCAGGAATATCAGTAACAAGGCACAGCTGAGTTTGTCAGTGGCCGCTGTCAGCCGGCTGCTTTTCCTGCTTTCCTGGTTTGCGGTTTTTTTCTACCACTAACAAAATATGATGCTTCTTTCTGTTTTCCTGTATTCATTTCTGCTTATTTCTCCAAGGACGAGCCCTGTGTTCTCTTTACGACCCAATGTTTACAAATCGACGGGCACCACATTGAGTAAAAACTGCCAGCCAATTTGGAGAGGCGATCGCAGGGCTTCGCCTATCCCTTCCTCCGGGACAGTTTGGATGGGAGTAGCTGGCGCGAGGGCTCGTTCCCCCGTTTTTGGGTAATTCCTTTGGCACTGGGAGACGAGATGGCCTCCGGAGGGTGGAAGGCAGTGCCAGCCCGGCCGGCCACTGGGGACTGCGGGGCCCGGAGACGCGCGGGGTCCCCGGGGAGCTCCTCGCCGCCCTCGCCCCACTTCGTCCGGGTCCCTCAAACATGTCGCAGCGTGGCTGCTCACTGTCCCCTCTGGGCAAGAGGAGGCCCCAGACATTTCCACGGGATCTGAACTCCCGAGCGCCCTGCACGGAGCAGCCATCCCGCCAGCACCCCAAAGTGAAGCTGCTCACAACGGACAAGCCCGGAGACCCCATGAGAGGCCGGGGTGGAGAAGCCGGGGGTGAAGGGGGGCAGGGGCCGGCGCGCCACGCGGTCCTTACCTTTCCGCTTGGACCTCCGCCTCCTCCTCCTCTTGGACTTGCATTTGAGTTGACTGCTCAGCCCTCCAGACCCTCTGCCGCTCCCCAGGACCGAGGCCATGGCCGAGACCCAGGCGCGGAGCCCAGAGCCGCCTCCCTCCTGCACCTGCACCTGCCTCCTTCCCGGCAGCCGCCGCCGCCGCTGCTGCGAAGCTTGAGGTTGCAAACCCGGGAGCGGCTCACTTTTCAGGACTGAGCAGGAAAGCGCGCTCCGTCTCTCTGTCTCTCGAATTGTTCTCTATGACTTGCTCCCACTGGGCTGGGGGCCTCGGCTGGGCGCCTGGAGCGAGCTGCTCCCTGGTCAGGGAGGGCGGGGAAGGGCGCGCGGCGTCCTGAGTGCTCCGAGCTTCCCGCGGGCTCTGCCTCCTGCTCTGGGCTCCCAGCGCAGGGAGGCTACTTTTGCGCCTCTGCTAGTTGTTTGGCACCAGCCACTTTGAAGCCAATCACGCAGGGAGCTTGTCTATTTGCTGCAGCAGCGTCTAATTAGATCCAATCACAACTGCTTTCTGGCTCTGACATCAGCAGCAGCACCAGCCGCACCGCCGCCTGGCCGCTTGCAAACTCAGCTCCCGTTTGGACGGTGAAGCTCCCAGGACCGGCGGCTGGAGGGAGGCTGCTCCCGGGGAACAAGGACGCGGCGCGGGTGCGTCTGGGAGAGACCGGGGGAGCCTCCAGGAGGGACCCTGCCCGGGAGGACGAGGCCTCCTGCCGCAGCCTCGCGGACAGCTCAGCTCGCCCTGCTCAGAAAGACACAGGGACGGGTTTTTCCAACCAACAGTTTTTAACTAGTCAATTCATTACCATGCTCCTTGTGTCAAGGGGGGGAAATACCTCTTTCAGAAATGCAGAGACCGCACTTCCTCAGAAACGGACTGAGGTTTGCAATTCCCCAGGAGACAGCGTCCTGAGGGGCATTTATTCCTCAGAGCCTGCATGCTTGTCTGTTTGCCTCTTCTTTCCCCTCTTCATATTCCTTGGCCGTTTCCAATGCAAAAGATAAATCTTGCATAAAGACAGAGGTTTTGGGATCTGAGTCTGATTTTTGCCGTCAGGAATTTCATGTGTTGCTTTATTTAGGGAACAATGACACAAAAGGAAGAGAAAGCTCTCAGCGGAGAGTTTTGTTGCCAAATGTAATATTTGGATGGAAGAAAGTAACATTTACAAAGAGGTGGATTGCACACTGAAATAGTTTTAAGCAATTTTTTTTTCCAGGAATGTCCTATGTTTCAAGATTATACTTATGGAACCCTGGAAGTCTTATGTAAAATATAAAGAGGAATAGAATCTGGTAATCATCATTGCATCTTGTATTTAAATCACATAAGCTTTTAATTACAATAGTCATGTTTTTAAAAAAATCCACTCTAAAATTCATTAGCACACATTAACATGTTGATATAAAAATGGCACACAAATATTTCTGCTATTCATTGCCTCACATGCAACCTTTTCAGCTGCTTATGTGCCTAGAAATTTCCAGATAATTTTTATCATAAGAAAAAAGAATCACTCTGGGGGACATTGGAAATAATTAGGATGATCCTGTGTTGTTATGTGCTGAGCTGATAGATCGTAGCTCAGTTTTCATTGATGAGAGAGAGTAAGACATTTGATTTCAAATCTTAACTCTACTGCTATGACCTCGGGTAAGTTAAACCGTGCCTCAGTTTCCTCATCTGTAAACTGGGGATAACAACGTCACCCACCTCATAAGTTCATTCATACTCGTTGAATCAGTATCAACCAGTATAGACAGGAACTGGAACATGTTAATTACTCTATGATTATTTATTAAATTTTTTCCAGCAAATAATTTGGAAGGAATGAGCGTATGTTGCAGACAAGCCTCAGAAAGACAGGGCTTCTGCGTTTTCCTTTTAGAATGTTGAACCTTCTAGTCCAACTCAGACTGAGGACCACAATCAAACCAACATCCCTCTTCAGGGCTGGCTTCAACAACCCTGTTCCCATGACAGCACAGCTCAGCTCTGCTGATAATTCCCAGCGAGGGTTGAGAAGGCACATAGCTCTCTCACTTCCTCTCTGCAATACCCGAGATATTTGAGTGCTTAAACTATATCGAGAAACACAGCTCTAGGACTCTGCCTGTGAAACTTCTGAGCTTCACACAATGTGCTGCACTAATCCAGAGTTGCCCTATTTCTGTATCTGCAGAAAACCCATCAGGGGGTGGAGTCACCGAAGGAAGGTGCTTCAGAAGAGCTTCACACACACACACAGCCCCCACAAGGTGGTCAGCATTTATTAATGGCCCCAATAGCTCCATCATCACACGGAGCAACCGTGCTGTCTGGGAGACTCGTATACATGAACCCTTGTTTCACTCCAAGGGCAGGTATGGTGGCCGGAAAGTAACGTGTCTGTTAAATGTTCTTCTGATGTTGGTGGAGTGGGGAAACAAAACTGAAAACTGTCTTTGAACACTTCATTTAGACCCTAATTTGAAAGTTACGATCGAAATTTTGGCAAACCTTTTTCTTGAAGTTCCTCCAATTGGTTCTTTTTTGTATAATTTATGAAAATGCTGTTTTCACAGATACTTGCTGTTTTCTGTATTTTATTTATTTTGCATAAGACGATGCATAATAGATGATGCTAGGGCGACGGCTAGGCGAGAAAGCCTTTGTTTCTCATCACAGAGGGGCTTTAAAGAAGAGGCTCGCAGCGACAAGTGCGTTAACTCCAGCGTGGTTTCCAGCACGTCTCACTCTGCTGTTGCAAGCAGGGCTGCGAGTGAGCAGTGCTGGTAAGCTGCCATTCCCCGATGAGCCTCCTCACCTCCTGCCTGTTTCCCACAGTGCCTCAGCGCAGCTTTGCAACGTGGTGGGATGAGCAGCAGTTGGAAGAGGCTTCAGGAGCAGGAGCCAATCTCGCCCGGTGCCCATCAGGAGATGTCGCTGTGGTGTCCCCAGCTACTTCATGCTCAGTCCCTGCTCTTCCCACAAAACAAAGCACCAGCAGAGAGGTTGCAAGGAGGAACAGGCAGCTACAAAGCCAACTGCAGCCCGGCATGAACCTATAGGGGTCGGGGGGAGACGGGTGAGGCATAGAAAGGAGCCCTTGGCTGGATAGAAGGGGCAGTGCTGCCTCCGCAGTGAGTCCCCACACCCAAATGGCATGTGTGTGCCAGGAGGAAGAGTTTTCTCAATCAAGGCCAGAAAGGGTCCTCTTGTTGGAGTTGCTTAAAGCTCCCCCAACTCACTGTTGCTCTCATCAGTCCTACAATGTTACAGGTCTCCTGTGTGATATTTTGCTTGTTTCTTCAATGTCTGTCTCTCCATAGATCACAAGCACCACAGGAGGCAAAACCACGTCTCTCTGTGGCTTTGCGGCTGTGCGGGCACTGACCTGGGACACAAGTGTCCTTGCAGGGCAGAGGCTGATATTTACCACTGGGGCAGTGCTTGCTCTGCTCAAGGTATGGTTCTGAGCTTAAATGTTATAGTGACTCTCAGTTAATGCACAAGACCTCGATGGCGGCAGGACTGAAACAATATTCATTTCAGAGGCTCAGACAACTTAGGTAACTTGCTAGAAGTCACACGGGTTACTAGTCAGGATTCACATTCAGCACATCCTAACTTCACAGTCTGGGGTTGTTACCACTACGCCCTGCTGGTATTTTATCCTGCAGCCTGAAATTGGTAGATTTTGTGAACTTCTACAAGCCTTCTTGAGATAAGCAAAAAATACATTAAATAGTGACTCAAAGCTTCAGTAAGCCTATGTGTGTGCATAATATACACACATATAAACATATCAGAATTTTTCTTTCCTCAGAATGAACATACAATGTGGACAGAAAGACCTTATCATCCTCATTTTTCCCCTGAGGTTACGAAGGTGAAGTGTGAGGTCTGGATTCGTGTCATGTTGCCAGATAGCAGCAGAGCCATGACCCGAATGTAAGGTTCCAATACATTCCCGAAATAACAGCCATGAGAAATTTCATAGATTCACATAACTGCCCTGATCTTTTATTTCTGCAAAAGAGAGACCTAAGGCATCCTTCCTGCGGCTGACCACACAGCTTGCATCTTTTAACCCATATTCAGATCATCTTGTGCCCACTCCCGAATGTTTTCCTCTCAACTCCTTGACCTGTCTGAAGACATGGACAACTATTCTTTGCTTCAAAGTCCTGATGGTCAATACTGACTTACAATACTTCAGTTCTTAATGCATTGCAATGTCTTTCCAGATAGTTAAAGGGTTGGCTGACTTGATTTCTTATTGGTTTCCCGAAACAAATAACACTGACAAACAAACATGGTTTCTTTAGAATCAGAATTCTAGTTAATATCCCCTTCCCTCCATCAGACAATTTCACTAGGTGGAAAATAGCAGAATAAAGGATTCTCTGGAGATATTTGTGTTTGCTGACTCACTTTATCATCACATATGACACACAATTATGACTTTTTACAAGAAATAGCACAAGGGGACTTTTTTACTCTTTCATCTTCAGCCGTTGCTCTTAAGTCTAAATAACACACATCAAAGAACTTGGGCATGAGACCTGAAAGTATTTCCAAATAATATTGTGCAATATACCTGCTATGCCACATGCACGTGTATTCACATTCTCTTCAAAGGGCATGGAAGGAGGCTGGTGAAGGGGAGGGGGCAGCAGAGAAGTCCCAGGATGCAGAGGAGCATCTTGAATATGAAATGCTCTTTATCCTACACTTTTACCAGAGTAGTTTTTCCCTTTGTTCATTCTTTTTCTTGGAGGCATGCTTATGGTTTGAGAACAGCAAATGCACACTTAGCAATTTCCTGAATGAACTTGGTGTAAAGCAGGCGGGTGGATCACCTGAGGTCAGGAGTTCGAGACCATCCTGGCCAACATGGTGAAACCCCGTCACTCCTAAAAATACAAAAATTAGCGAGGTGTGGTGGTGCACACCTGTAGTCTCAGCTACTGGGGAGGCTGAGGCATGAGAATCACTTGAACCCAGGAGGCAGACATTGCAGAGAGCCAAGATTGCACCACTGCACTCCAGCCTGGGTGACAGAGTGAGACTCCATCTCAAAAAAATAATAAAAAATAAAATAAAATAAAAAGACAGTGCTTGGAAAATACAAGTGAAAAAAAAATCCTACATGCATAATCACAAGAACAGACTCCAAATTCTGCTTCTGTTGGTGCTATGGGTCTAACACATTGGGGAAGACATAACCCTTTCTGAACATCATCTGTAAAAGGAGGGAAAATGATGGCACAGAACTGCTATGAAGATAAAGAAAAAGGATGCAAATTTCTTTGTGAATGATCCTGAAATGCCAAGGTCACGTAAGATGTTTATGTGTCTTCTTTTAACACAGTTGATTTTAATCACGAATGTACCTGTGCCCAGGTGAAAGCACTGAAAATCAAGATCGTCTTTAAGATCAAGGGAACTCAGGGATGGAGGCTTCCACCCCACAAGCCCAGGAGACTCCCAGGCCCATTTATTATGCAGCGCAGGTGACCTCAAGTAATCAATCTTTCCTCAGGGCTAATTGTAACAGCTGATTCCATTTCTTCCTGAAGGTCCAGGTCGTTTGTGAGATGGCTCTACCAGCTGCAGGGAGAATGTGCTGATCAGTTGTTTTATGATATCCGTGGCCTTTGGATAGAGTAAAGTATGGTATTTTACTACTAAATATTTGTGCAGGATATGAGAAATAATGGCCTGAAATAATCCTCTTCAATATTCTAGATAGGTTCAATTACTTACATTTACATTGACAATGCCCTTGGTTGCTAGTTTCTGAAATGGGAAACCTTAATATTTTATGGAATCATAAAAATTACCATTATTTAAAGCTACATTAATGCATGGCCTACCCTCGGTGTTTCTTTGTGTCTTAAACGAGTATGGTTCAAAGAGTTATTTTTTTCACACTTTCCAAATCTTCTCTTTGAACCAGTGATTTTCAAAACGAACGATGTCATATCCCCAGAGCACTGTGTGACAGCAGGAAGAGAGGAGGAAAACAAAACACAGATGGAATTAATGGTTTGGGGTGTTAATCAATGTAATAAATTGAAAGGAAAGGATGAAAGCTTGTCGAGAATACATTTCTGTTATTTAAACTAGGGTAGGCTGATGTAATGAATTTATTTCAATTTTCCACTCTGATGTTTAAAGTCTAAACACTTCATTTCCTCCTCCGGCTTCCTCCTTTCTCTCGATATCTGAGGCGCAGGTGGTGCCCATCTGTGAGACTCCAATTCTTCATTTTCCGGCTCTCTCCCTGGTCTTGGCCTTCGGGGACCACATGCAGAGGCCTGAGTGGACGGCTGCTTGTCACGTGGTTTTGATGCTTGAACTGGCATCTCCGGCCATTGATAGCATTAATTTAAAAACCCTAGATTTTAATTCCGTACATTTGGTTCCAGCAGGGAGAGGAAGAGCAAGGGAAACTCTTATTGGGTTCCAAGCAAGGATGAAGCCTGGGGAGCTGGGCAGCCTTGGGTTTCTGCTTCCCCGAGACCCCAGCCTGACTGGGATCCAGGTGAGGGTCACTGAGAAGTCCCCGATGCAGGCCCTGCCACCTGTCTCATTTTTTTGAGTCAACAAATGAGTAAAATGGACAATCGCAGAGGGGATGTGTGGCTACCCTGAGGGTCAAAACCACGTAATATTATCCCTTAACAGAATGAGCGTGGGCTTCATGAAAGGTAACTGCTCACACGAGCAGAAAATGTTGCTGAACTAGAATGGATGTGTGCAAACAGCAGGTGATGAAGGACCTCACTTTGCTACTATTGTATCCACTCGGTACTCAAAGGCTGGCCAGACAGCCAAATCCCCCAAAACGCAGTGACATCCTCTTATTCCTCAAAATCCTGGGTCCATGCAGAACAGCCCTTGCTCTGAGGGCAAATAAATATTAGGAGAGAAACCCTGTCCCACTCATGTCTGTGAAAAACAGCAGCACCTTCTGCCACAATTGCGAAAGAAATAAGGAACCTGAACAGGAGGCAGAGGAAGGGGTCCCTCCAGGACAGTGGCCGAGAGCAGAGTCCATCAGCTGTGTTCCCAGGGTGGATGGCAAAGCGGAGGCACCCCTGCAGCCATGGCAGATAAGTTCACGGGGTCTTGCTCCTGGCGGGGAGGAAAAGAGGGAAATGAAATTCATCCATGTCTCCTTCCCGCGAAGCTGCTCTTCTCAGCCTCACCCAAGCAATTTTGGTCATAATTCTGGGTTTTCATCTTGATAATTGTCCTAGAGACATTGGGGTTCCACTAACATTTTCTGAAAATGAAGCCAGTTTTCCACTTCCATGCTTCCTTTTTCATATTTCCAGTGCTCAGAAAAATTATTTATACGGCCATCCATGACTTCGAAACCCTGTCCCTGGGGAAAGCTCCCACTGATGAGCTCCAACCCTGGCCTGGCCTGTGCCAGGGGAAGCATTACTTCCTCCAGACATTTTGGTGAAGATTAAACCAGTTAACACTTGTAAGAGTTATCGGAACAGTGGAAATCTGTGAGTGCAGGTACAGGAAAATAACTCGAGCCAGCTGTTGTCTTGCAGAGCACCCTTCATGTCCGCAGGCAGCAGACGGGCTCGTGCCCTTCAGCCCCAGGAAGGGTCCCAGCACCGCGGTCGTTGCCCAGAGGGCAGAGCCGCTGGACTCCCAGTTTTGGCCCTACCAGCCACATGGGCTGTGGCTTCACGTCCCCGATCTGCAGAAGGCACCGGGTTGTTATGTGGTTGAAGAATGTCAGCATTTGTGAGGCTCAGAACACTGCTGGGCACACAGAGTGCTGTGCAGATATTTGTTATATCATGGCAGAAAAATAAAAAAAATGCAGGGAACTCACGCCATTGCTTTAGACAGCAGTGTTGAGGGTCTATTTTCACACCTGGAGTGCACCTTGGGAATGTATTATACATGTGCCTGTGGGTGGGTTTTCTCCTTATACTGTCTAACTACAGATATTAACTAAATGGACATATTTTATTTTGTTAGATTTTACACTGGGATGGGGTGGGGCTTTAGAGAATACAACTAACTTTCTTAGTGCAGGTCTCTATTTTCATAGATCTTTGGTTCACCACAAAATATTGTTAAAATATATTTGGGAAAAGTCATGGGAGAGACCATTGCAGTCTTTGAAGAAGAAAGAATGCAGAAAGATGGAGACTAAAACACATTCCAAGAGAAATGAATAAGTACAAGGAAAACATGAAGCAGGTGGAATAGGAGAGTGGGTCCCTCTGAGCCGTGCACGCAGGGGTGTGTAGACACTGACCACAGGGAGGGAGTGGGTTTGGAGCCAAGCAGACCTCAGCCCAAGCTTAGTTGAGTCACCTGTTACCTACATGACAGCTGTGCTGTCCTCATCTGTGGGGTGTCCACATAAATATTCATCTCACGGTGTTGTGAGGATCAGGCGAGGTTGCTTATGTGAAATGCCATGTTCCCAGGCACTCACAAACATCAGTAGAGTGTCACTGATAGCCTGTCGGACTGGGACATTGGTTTCCCTGCAATACTTAGGTTAATATGATCACTGCACACAGCAGTTTCCACACTGATGCTTCAAAGCTTTGCTGGAATCCAACTGTCTGAGGTGGCATCCCAGAGTCATGGCACCGAGGCGTCCATGAAGCCTGGAGCAGCCTGGCTGTGGGTGAAAGGGACGCAGGGCTGTGGAAAGTCACCTTGGTTTTCCTCCTGGTCCTCCACAGCTGCCAACACATCAGAGGGAGATCCGATTTCCAGGACAGTGGCAGTGATCCATGTAGATTGCAGTTCCAGTGCAATCAATGGATGTGACACATGGTCAGTGCTGGACCTAGTGGAGGTGGGGCTGTGAGAGCACTCAGATGGCAGTGCAGGGCATGGCGGGGCAGCAGTGTGTGGGTGCCTGGGAAGGTGGGAGTGTGAGAGCTCACAGGTAATGGTGGGAGGCATGGCAGGGCAGCAGTGTGCTGGGTGGGTGCCTGTGAAGGTGGGGCTGTGTGAGTGCTCACAGATGGCAGTGGAGGGCATGGCAGGGCAGCAGTGTGTTTGTGTCTGTGTAGCCTCTGGGGCAGGTCTGTGCTGTTGTTCTCCATAATTGCTGGTGGCAGTGGAGCCCGCTGGGCGCGGAGGGCAAGCATGCAGCCTGCATCTGCTCTGCACTGCAATCTGTTCTGGGTGTCACCAGCTGACCCACAGTGTCAGTGACCACCTCCTGGCGGATCTGACAGCCCTGAAGACACTCCTCCTCTTGGCCGGGAGTCCAGAGGCTGGTCATTAAAGCAATAATTAATCCCAGGCTCTCCTACAAAACGATGGGAAGGGAAAAATCACTTTGGGCTGTTATTAAAATGTTTTCAATTTCTTTCGTATCCAGGAAACAGTTTCTGATAAATAAAGGAAATATGCTAATATGATCTTTCTTTTAAAAAAGGGAAAATTGAAAGATGCCGTTTGAAAAAATCTAATCTTATATCTGCAACCTACATGTACAATAATATTTCAGTAATTTTAGTGTTGGACTTTAATAATTTTGATGTGTAAGTTTTCATGATTTGTATCATTTGTACATGTATTTCAATTTTCTTAAAAGAATATTTTCTAGCTGGGCACTTTGGGAGGCTGAGGCAGGAGGATTGCTAGAGCCCAGGAGTCAAGACAACCCCAGGCAACATAGTGAAACCCCACCTCTACAAGAAATGAAAAAAAAAATTAGGTGGGCCTGGTGGTACAAACTTGTAGTCCCAGCTTCTCAGGAAGCTAAGGCAGGAGGATCACTTGAGCCCAGGAGGTCCAGGTCAAGTGTCACATGAATCACGTGACATGTATGCGAGTGTCACATGAATCGCCTGACGTGTACACGAGTGTCACATGAATCACCTGACGTGTACGCAAGTGTCACATGAATCGCGTGACGTGTATGCGAGTGTCACATGAATCGCCTGATGTGTACGTGTCACATGGATTGCGTGACATGAACGTGACTGTCACATGGATCGCCTGATGTGTATGTGTCACATGGATTGCGTGACGTGTATGCGAGTGTCACATGGATCGCGTGATGTGTATGCGAGTGTCACATGGATCGCGTGATGTGTATGCGAGTGTCACATGGATCGCGTGATGTGTATGCGAGTGTCACATGGATTGCGTGATGTGTACACGAGTGTCATATGAATCACGTGACGTGTACGTGAGTGCTTCCACCTCCGGCTCACATGTTATTTTCCCCTGCAAAGCTGCAGGATCTGAACTCTGGAGGGTAAGGTGGTGAGGGATGGGCGTGTCCTCCAGGTGCCCACATGGGGCCAGCTGACTGAGTCAGCCCCAGTTTCCTGAGGAAGGACTCAAAAGGATTTTCTGGTTCATCCAGGTGAGTAAGTTCAAGTAAAGCCACCCAGAGTTGGGGAAAGGACCGCCCAGATTTATCAGCACAGCCTACCTCGGACACAATTCTAAAGGGAACTTGGATTTAGACTCTTAAGTGAGCTTTTGTTTCTCTCACTTTTCTCTAAATAATTTGATCTTCCTCATAGCATTGCATGGATTTTATAGGATGAAAGGAAGCCTCGAATGATCAACTGTAATAATGAATTTCCAAAGCTTTCATAGCCGCAGAGGCTCCTCTTCAAATGAATGTGCATGTTGAAGGCTGATGACTTAATTCTCTGTGGCTGAGCCACTGTATGGGAAGCAGAGTGGGAACCCCTTGCTGTTCATGGCCTCTGGGGCCATGAAGCGTTTCTCATCTAACACTAAGCAAGTCATTTAAGAAGCTCTATCTGATAATCTTGTTTAGAAATGTTTTATCCAGTTTTCTACCAAAATTAAAGTGAAACCTCTTTTACCAAGCTTCATTTCATTTCCTTTCCAACCAGGTGGCTTCAGCTTGTTTCAGTCATGGACAGTGGACGTCTTGCTTCATTTGTTGATCACAGGGTTTTCTGCTCTCTCCGCCCATGTGAAACAGAAAAATCATAGGTGGTTATTATTTTAAAACCCCTTTGTTTTCAGAAATTAGAATTAGGATTGGATCCCTGGTAACAGAGCAAACAATATTGATTTTCTGTTTGAATGATAGGACTTTTGATTTTCAGCTCAGTGTATAAGGGTCTTGAAAGTCTTTCCCTCTTCCTTAGGAAAAACTTTAAAAAATCCCTGAAAGTCAACAACTCTTCCTAGATTCTTCTGAGAAGTGAGGTCACAGGGAAAACTAGTACCCTAAAAGTTGTGGAGGCAGGTGTGTGGATAGAGAACCAACTTAGCAGAGCAGCTGTCCAGGAGGAGACACTTCTGTGGGAACAAGTGCCAGCAGAAAACCTAAGCTGCGATTGAGGTGTGGCTGCGCGCTCAGTGCAGAGGAGTCAGAGGCACAAAAGCTCTGGAGGACTCAGTCACAGACAGCGGGGAGGGCATACATTTCCAAGTGTTACCTCCAGGAACTCAACCAGTTCTCACAGAGAAGGTCAGAGAAAAGGCTCCTCCTGCCTCTAGCAGTGGGAGGAGAAGGTGAAAGTGGGTCTTTTTGAAATAGGCTAGGGCATTTATTTCACCTTAGAAAAGCCTGCTCTTGAGAGAAGTGGTTTTATCAAAGTCCAACCTACTGGGGTTTTATCTGGGTCTAACCCACCTAGGAGAGGGGAAATGCCAAATCTCCACCCTGACCTTTCTGAACCATCTAAGGCGTGTTGTCTTGGGCCACACAAAATACACTAGTGACAGCTGATGAGCTTAAATAAAAGTCAATGCATAATTTTCATGATATCTGCCACCACAGATAGGCAAAAAAAGTCATTGCATTCAAAGGTTTGAACATGGCTGATCCAAGGGCGAGTAAAACAAACAAATAAAAATCAAACAATGCAAACACATCTGTGAAGGTCACAGGCCAGGGGACACAGGCTCACTAAAGACCAAGACCTAATCATAGGACTCTGGGACTTGTCCCCCTCCTAACTCCTCACCACCACTTCAACAAGTCTCTTGTATAACAGCAGAAGAAAAAGACTGACAGAACTGTTTGTCTCAGACCTATTTAAGAAGATGTCTCCAGGGAAACCCAAAGACAACAAGAGAAACAAAAACACAGGACATCAGCTAGCTATGGCAAGCAGGAAATGTGACCTAACTCGTAGCTAGACAAATATCAGACCTCACACTGAAGGTCTATTCGCTGCTATCCCTTTTACCCAGCACATCATATCTGATTTTCAACACAAAATTACAAGGCACCCTAAAGTCAATAAAACATAATTGGAAGAGGCAGAATCAGAATCACAACCATACTCAGGTATGGCAGAGATGTTGGAGTTATGAGACTGGGAACTTAGAACAGCTATGATGAATGTGCAAGGGCTTTAATGGAAAAAGTAGATAACCTACAAGGACAGATGGGTAATGTAAGCAGAGAGATGAAAACACTAAGAAAGAATAAAAAGGAAATGCTGGAAACAAAAACTGTAACAGAAATGAATTTATGGGCCATTCAGTAAACCAGACAGGGCTGAGGAAAGAATTAGTAAGCCCAAAGAAATGTTAAGAGAAACATCTGGAAGTGAAATGCAGAGAGAAAGAGGAAGGAAAAAAGACACACCAGCCGATGCAAGACCTGTGGGACAATTATAAAAATTGTAATGAGAAATGCCAGAAAGAAAGTAGATAAAAAGAAGTATTTGTAGTAAAAATGACTGAAAATTATTCCACAACTAATGATAGATATCAAACCATAGATCCCAGAAGCTCAGAGAACACCAGGAAGGATAAATACCAAAAAAATCTACACCTAAGCCTGTCATGTTTAGACTGTAGAAGATCAAAGGAAAGGGAGTTTTAAAAGAAGTCCTTTAAAAGAGAGAGAGGGGTGGAAAAGAAACACCTTGCCTCTAGAGGAACTAGGATAAGAATTATGTTAGACTTCTCTTCAGAAACCATGCAAGCAAGAAGAGAGTGGAGTGAAATATTTAAAGTATTACAAGAAAAAAAAGAAATACAAATGTAAAATTCTGTGTCCAGCAAAATCATCCTTCAAAAGTGAAGAAGACAAGCGTGTGACTGAGATAAAATATTTACAAAAGACATATCTTATAAACGACTGGTATCTAAAATATACATACAAAGCACTCTTAAAGCCGAGGCGGGCGGATCACGAGGTCAGGAGATCGAGACCATCCTGGCTAACACGGTGAAACCCCGTCTCTACTAAAAATACAAAAAATTAGCCGGGCGTGGTGGCGGGTGCCTGTAGTCCCAGCTACTCGGGAGGCTGAGGCAGGAGAATGGCGTGAACCCGGGAGGCGGAGCTTGCAGTGAGCCGAGATCGCGCCACTGCACTCCAGCCTGGGCGACAGAGCGAGACTCCGTCTCAAAAAAAAAAAAAAAAAAAAAAAAAAAAAAAAAAAAAAATTCCACAATTATAAAAAAGCCTATATTAAAAAGTGTGCAAAATATCTGAAGAGGCATCTAACAAACATGATATACAGATAGCAAGTAAAGACATGTAAAGATATTCAGCATCATATGTCATTAGGAAATTGCAAATTAAAACAATAATAAGATATTACGACACACTTATTAGAATGATCAAAATCCAAAACACTGACGTCATCAGATGTTGGTGAGAATGTGGAGCAACAGGAACTCTCATTCACTGCTGATGGAAATGCAAAATAGCACAGCCACTGTGGAAGCCAATTTGGCAGTTTCATGCAAAACTAAACATACACTTAATATAACATGAAGCAATCATGCTCCTTGATATTTACCAAAATTAGTCAAAACATAAGTCTACACAAAACCTGCACACAAGTATTTACAGGAACTTTATTCATAGTTGCCAAAACTTGGATATAACCAAGATATTTTTCACTAGGTGAATGGATAACCAAACAGGTACATCCATAAGTGAAATACTATCCAGTGATAAAAAATAATATATCAGACCAAGAAAAGATATGGAGGAAGGAATCTTAACTGCATCTTAAGTGAAAGAAGCCAATCCGAGAAAGTTGCATACTGTACAATTCCAACTCTATGACATTCTGGAAAAGGAAAAACTACAGAGGCAGTAAAAAGATCAGTGGCTGTCAGAGCTTGGAAGAGGAAGGGATGAACAGGAGGAGCACAGAAGATATTTAGGGCAGGGAAACTGCTCTGTGTGATGCTCTAATAATGTGGATATGTCTTGTTATAGATTTGTCAAAACACATAAAATGTATAGCAAGAGTAAACCCTAATGTCAGCTACAGGCTCTGGGTGATAATGATGTCCCAATGTAGGTTTGTCAATTGAAAATGCACCATATTCATTCAAGATATTAACAGGAAAGTGAGGAAGAAAGAATTGATTTAGCAAGAATTTGGTTTACAGAAAAACTGAGTGGTGGAGATTAACAAAAAGCTACTAATTACAAAATTAAAAATTTAGACGAAAGATCTGTGGTTTTAGAGGTATTAGAGAGAAGGAAAAATATGTGCAAAAAGTATAAGGATCCATAGATATATCAGTGGAAATGGACATTTTACCACATGCTCATGTTTTACGACAAGGGACAAAATTCTCTAAGCTTTCCTTATAATGAGAATCATTCTGCTTAGGTGAGGCATATTATTTTATATTACTGGACATAGAGTCTCTTTGAATAGTAAAGTATTGCTAAATTAGGCACATATTTTGATAAATTATGTAATACTAATTATCTTGATTGCTGGTAGATTACATGAGCTACTCAAAAATAGATGCCTGGTACAGCTTAATACAGTTCATTGATTTATTCCATCTCAATTTCATTTTAAAGGAGCTCAAAACAAAATGCCCTTCAGCTAGATACAACAATTTTCAGTACTTAGCTATGAGAACCCACAAAAAAATGACAAAAAATAGGTACCAAATATACTAAAATAAAAATGTTTGAGAGAATTTCATAGTGTCAGTACAGAGTCAATTCCATCTTATCATCAGTGATTCTCAACTTTATTTATTTATTAGAAAAGTTGGGGGAAAGTCGAGACATTGAAAAGCAATCCAAGGACTCCCAACTGCCTCTGAGATTGGAATCCAAATATTAGCACCTTTTAAAGCTCCACAGGCAACCTGAACCCACAGCCAAGTTTAATCACCACTGCTCTGCTCCATGCAAAGAGGAAGGTTGGGGACACTACTCTGCTCCACACACACAGTAAGGTTGGAGACACCACTCTGCTCCATCACACAGGAAGGCTGGGGACACAGCTCTGCTCCATGTATGCAGAAATGTTGGGGACCCCTGCTCTGCTCCATCACACAGGAAGGTTGGGGACACAGCTCTGCACCATTCACACAGGAAGGCTAGGGACACAGCTCTGCTCCATCACACAGGAAGGCTGGGGGCACTGCTTTGCTCTGTCACACTGGAAGTTTGGGAACACCACTCTGCACCATCCACACAGGAAGGATGGGGACACTACTCTGCTCCACACACACAGGAATGCTGGGGACCAGTGTTCTGCACCATCTACGTTGGAAGGTTTAGCAGAGCATTTTGCTCTAGCTAGGTAGGGCAATTTATTTCTCAACAAGAGCTGAAGGGCACGTACTTATCAAGTAAGAAAGGGAAGTGCACTAGGAATTGAGCATACTCATGCAGGAAAGCTGACTAGCAGTTTAATGTTATTTTCTCTTGCAATCAGCTGAAATACCCTAATAATGCTATTCTTCAACTTCAATTGCTTATTAAATAGCTAGGATAACAATTGCAAGTACATTCTCATTATTTAAGCTTTTTGGAATTGACCACACTCCTAATGAGGGTCTCATCTAAGAGTTATGATGTGAACACAAGGAATAGCAGAAATTATCCTTTCAAATATGGGCAATAATAGTGACCATGGCAGAAAAACACTGCTGTCGTGGTCTTCCTCCCATAGGATTACTCACTCATTCACGCATTCATTCATTGGCCAGATCTGTAGTTAGCAAGCCTTAGAGCTAGGTATTCTCCAAAGCATTGGGGAAATTGGTAAGAAATGATTGACTTGAGGCAATGGCCTTCAAGACAAAGTGAGGAGTGAAGGCACCTGTGAGAATGTGTTAAGTGCGAGCAGTGCTGTCCATGGTCCACAGAAGTAGGCAGGGTAGGGTGGGAGGGATAAGTTCTTTCTGTACACCCTGTCTGTGCAACTGGGCTGCAAAGTATTTGTGTGTTTGGAGGCATGGGGGGATGTTCAAATTATTGATATAAAAGAGAAACAACTGTATTTATTTAGACTGTCCATCAAGCAAACTTGGGAAGATATGGTGTCATCAAGCTTCCCCTTGGGACATAGATGGTTAAAAAGAGAGGCTCACCCTCCTCCGCAGGTGGCTTGAATCTATCTGTCTCCTGGCTGTGATTTCAAACACACTGGAGCCTGTCCCTGATGACAAGGTTCATGATGACAGCCACAATACTGCTCAACCTGATGTCTCAGAGGACCCAGGAAGGAGGCAGCTTTCTGAAAATGGCTATGAGAAAAAACAGTAAATCCACATCTCTCTAAGTCTAAATACTTCCTGCTAAGAGTGTTATAGATTACAGTTTCTACAATCATGAGAAACACTCACCTGGGGTTTGCTACCCACTGTATCTGGGTGTGGATATTAAAGACATTGTTCTAAATACTCTTCTCTACAACTCAAGACAGAAATTTTCATCATCCTCACGCCTCAGAGGAAATGGCTTATTTTTGAAGCTCTATTAGTACATGTGCTCAAAACCCAAGTGTTTTTTTTCTTATGTATGTTATGCCTTTGTTTTTATCTACGTTGTCTTTAAAAGTTTTTTGGTGCACATGGAAAAAAATAAATGAAAGAGAATTTTCACATCTCTCTAGGTGTACTATAAATTCAAATTTTCAAGCTTAAGAAATTTCAACAAATTTTGCTCTGGGTTTCATAAGTAATTACTTTAGGTTTATATTTTTTTTTTCTAATTTGTTTCTGTTGTTTTAGTTTTCCTTGCCAATTATCAAAATGTTCTCTAGAAAACAAAAATGTTAAAAATGAAATTCAGATGTCCGGCTAGAGACTTCTTGTTATACAAGGATTTTGCCTATCTCGGTCATGAAGGCTGCAACAAACTAAGATCAAACCCAAAAGGCCCATCTATGTACATTTCTACATGTGTCAAAGTCAACGTATTCTGATATAGTTTCCAATTATTTCCCCTCATAAGAATGGTGACTGAAGTTTTTTTTTTGTTGTGATTTCTTGTATCATCTGTGTCTCTTGAAATGAATCATAAGGTAAATTGGCTGGACTCGGGCTCTTTTACAGAAGATAAATGATTTTGTGATATTTTAAACGTCTCTGTTTGTTGGGAGAGCATGCGCAAGGTGATCCATCTCAGCTCCACTTCCCTGTGAGAAACAAAGTCGCAGTGTAAAGCGATTTAGTCTTTTCTGTGTCGCAGAAGCATGGTCAGCATTGATGCTATTTAGCATTTTATCAGCTGAGCACGAGAGGAGACAGGAGCTCTTTGAGCGCCGGGCGAAGGCCCTGTGGCTGATGCTGACCCCCGCTCGCTGTGCTGCAGGGTGCAGGAAGCAGCGGCAATTACGGCTCCACTGCATTTTGCCAGACACGGGGCTCAGAACAATAGGATTGTTGTGCGGCCGGAGAGCAATCATTCAAGTCCTGCTTGTCTGTGCTGAGCTCCAGCCAGCCGCTCAGGCCAAGTGGCTGAGCTGTCAGGACCGGCTGGAAAGTGAGGGACGGCCTTGGGCAGCTGCAGAGCACACTTTGGGTCACCTGGGGGGCTTGGGGTGGAGACACCTTGCACAGAAGCTGCCCCACTCTCCGAGTTCCCACTTCTCCTCACTCTTGGAAGAGGGAGATGAATCCATCTTTTACCTCTGAAACAGATTTCTCTGGAAGCCCTGAGTAGCTGGAGAGAAGCAAAGGCCCCTCTCTCTGTAGCTCTTCCTGCCCTCTCTTTCCCTCACCCCACACTCTTCAGCGCTGGGCCTCTGGGGAAGGGCCGTTACACTGGGTTCCTTCCCACAGGTGCTGCCCTGCTTGGGAGAACCTGGCATGGGGCGAGGACGCTGCAGGCCTCCAGTTTGCTCAGATGCCAGTGTGTGAGGAGAGGGAGGGAGCAAAACAAACCCCACAGCTGAAAACAACACGACAGGGAAACACCGGAACCAAAGGTCCCACTGGAATGTAGAGAAATCACCTCTGCAGCTCCAGGCCTGTGGCTACCTGTAATAGGCTTTGTCTTTTTACCAGCATTTCGTAATAAATTAGTTCTCATTATGTAAAACATACTTTCCTCTCCTTTGTTCTTGGAATAATACCAGGGAGTTCTTTCTTCTCTTGGTCACAAATGTGCTTCCCCAGTAGAGCTCACGGCCTCACTCACATAAGACGGAGCCTGCTGGCCACACCCTCGACTCTAAGGCCATCCTGAGACTCACGCCTGCAGGTCTCTATTGCTGGGTTCTAGGAAGGTGCAGTACTATCAATGCTTATCAATGCTTCAAGTGCCGTATTTTCAGGCTAATGCAACTAACCAGAACCCTGTTTTCTCCCGAACACACACACACACACACACACACACACACACACACACACACACACACACACACCCCCCAGTAACTGTAACAAATGACGCCAGAGAGACAGACTTTGTCCCGTGTGGCCACAGGGGGTCGCTGGAGAGCGCCGGTCTGGTCTTGCAGGCTCAGGGAGGTCTTCCTCCTGCCTTTCTTTTATCAGCAAAAGCATCCTCTAAGTCGTCAGAAACAACCTTGCTTTGCTTCATAAAAAAATGGAGCAAGAAAATGTAAGAAAAAATCTATTGCTAAGTATTGAATAAAAGGGGATGCGGTGTGCAGATGAATCAACTGGTTTGTGAAGACAGCCCCCTGCAAAGGCTGCTGTGGGACAGTCAGCGGGCAGCCAGATGCCCAGGTGCTGAACTCCCAGAATAGACCTGTGGAACTGTGCCAGCAAAACTGGCCTTAGAATAATTTAGGAAAGAAAATTTTATGATATGCCAAGATAATTAATTATTAAAAACAGAAGAGAAAAAGTCCACACAAATGAACAGAAGGAACACAGTCATGTTTAGAGAATATGTTTGAAAAACATAATAATTACTGTGCTTTACCTGGCAAAAATAAATTGAAAATTGAAATGCTGAATCTAAAATAGAAAGTGTAAAGGAAAATATTTATTTTATTTTTTTGGTGTAACCTGCTGTATCGGAATGAATGGTTAGAGTTCATTCAGCACTTTGATAAGTATATCTACCTATATTTTAGTAAGTAAATTGCTAAGGTAGTTTAAAAAACTCTAAGTGCATACACACATGTTCGTGGAAATAAAGTTTTAAAATAAGACACAAAAAATTCACTTTGGGCTAGAAAAGTGAAAAAGATTTCTGAGAATTTTCAGTTACCAAGATTGAGTTATCAATCATGTAAATCTGAATGAGTAAAGGAAAGAATCATAGCCGATCAAAAAATATCTGAATACCTGCCACAGATAAGGCACACACAAGATATTCTGCAGGAAATGTGTACATCATAATTCTTCAACTGTGTAGTATCAAAGGAATAGATGCCAAGGTATGAAAAGTTAACTAGTAATTCATATAGTCTTATAACAAGTTCTGCTAATTTTGATATATACATACACACACATATACATATACATGCATTTACATATATGTATATGAAAATGCACATATATATTTTCATATATATAGAAAATACGTATATATGTGTATATGTATATGTGTATGTGTATACATATATATATATATATAAATATGAATTAAGAGCAGATAAGGCTGGGGCATTCTGAGAATTCTTCATTTAGCAGGTGAGTTTTCATTAATCCAGTAAACAATTTTTGAGTATCTAATAACCTTGAAATAGAAAAATGGCTTTGCTTCATGTTGCAGATTTGTATGTTTGGAAGCAGGAGAGAGATTTCAGGCTGAAAGGCAGAAGGAAGGGAATAGTCTACTTTGTTTCAGGGGTTCTGAGGAAGTCATTCTGGGGGAGTTATTGAAAGGCTTTTAATGGAAGCATGGAGATTTGAATTTTATTTTGTAAAGAAGCCATAGAAAATGTTTCAGTAGAAGAGTGGTTGGCTGATATCAACACAAAGACAAGATCCACCTCAAAATGCTTTTCTTGTACTCCTTCTATGCTAGGGAATATATTCCTTCCCACCTCCAATTTTTCTAATTCTGATTTGCCCCCTGAATGAAAAATTCTTAGGAGCCATGAGGGTTTGAAGCATATACACTTGGACCAGGCCCATAACCAACTGTATTAGTCATCACCTGCCAGGTGCTGCTGCAGTAACAAATACTCCTGGCATCTGAAAGGCTTACAACAGCAAAGGCTCATTTCCAATACCATTGCCTATCAGCTGTGGCCTTGCTCCACAAGGTCCTCCTCATCCTCAAATCCAGGGTGATGACAACCTTCATCTAGGGCTTTGCTGTGCTCAAAGTAGAAGGAAAAGAACAGTGACTGAACCATGAGATGGCTTTCAAAGCTCCTGCTCAGCCATGATCAACATCACTTCCAGTCTCCTCTCATTGACCAAAGCAAGTAACATGGGCAGCCTGGAGTTGATGGGATGAGGCAGATGAGCCCATCGTGGGAAAGGGCTGGAATCATGGGAGTGGAGTGCAGTGATGCACGTTCATTCACACGTGTCCACGTGACCCATGGACACACAAAGGAAAGGACTCAGAATCTTTCCCCAAGTGTTTTCTTTATCTTCTTTTTCTTTACTTTTGGCTTGAGCAGTGGAAGAGGGTGTGAGGAGGGAAGAGCCTCTCTCTGTTAGGAACCTGGAAATATGTGGTGTCAGAGCCCATGGAAGCCATGGCAGCTGGTAAGTCAAAGAAAATAGACTTGAGAAAATAAAGCCTCCATGAAGAAGGAGCAAGGAGAAAATAAAAAAATGAGGAGTGTGGCGGTTCAATCACACCTGCTTTTCCTGTAAGCTGGTTCTTTGAAAAACAGTAATTAAGTTGATAAGCTCCTAAAAGAACCCATCAAGAAAAAAGAGAAAAATACACACTTCCAATAGCAGTAATGAAAAAAAAAATCACCACACATCCTGATAACATCAGAAAGGCAATAAGGAAATATTATGAATCAACTTCATACCAATAAAATAGCTAGATTAAATGGACAACTTCCTCAAAACACGATTTGCCAATATGGATGGAAATGAAATATGAAATCTGAGTATGACATTTATTAAGCAATTCTAATTTGTTATAAAAAACATCTTCATTAAAAAAAGAAATTCTTGACACTTAGTCACACTAAATTTTGTGTAACATTAACAAAATAAATAATTCCAATCTTACCCCCAAATCCTTCAGAAAATAGAGGGGAAAAGAACATTTTCTCACTCAATTTATAAGGATAGCATATTGCTGATACTAAAATGCAGCAAACTGAGAATTCAAGGCTACTTGCTTGATTCAAGGAGGTGAACCTATGGAAAAGTCAATAGCAAACATCACAGTTAAGAGTATAATACTGAACATTTTCCACAAGGCCAGGAACATGGCAAGTGTATCCACTCTTGTTATTTCTATTAAACTTTGTACTTGAATTCCTAGCTAGTGCAATAAGGCATGAAAAAGAAATCAAGATATAGATATGAGAGAGAGGTTAAACTGTGCTTATTCACAACACAAGTGTAGAAAAATCCTAAGTAATTTACAATAAAGAATTCTACTGAATCTAGTAATGAATTTAGTACAAAGGACACTAAGTTGACATATAAAAATCCACTGAATTTTATATGCTAGCAGCAAACTATGGAAAGGCAATTAAATAATTCCATCTTCAATAACCATTAGAACACATACTACTTTGAGAAACAAATTTATCAAAGAAGCATAAGAACTATTGATATGGTTTGGTTGTGTCCTCACCCAAATCTCATCTTGAACTTTAACTCCCATGGTTCCCACATGTTGTGGGAGGAACCTGGTGGGAGGTGATTGAGTTATGGGGGTGGGTCTTTCCTGTGCTGTTCTTGTGATAGTCAATGAGTCTCATGAGATTTAATGGTTTTAAAAATGGGAGTTCCCCTGCACAAACTCTCTTTTTGCCTGCTGCCATCCATGTAAGATGTAACTTGCTCCTCCTTGCCTTCTGCCATGATTGTGAGGCCTCCCCAGCCAGGTGGAGCTGTAAGTCCATTAAACCTCTTTTCTTTTGTAAATTGTCCAGTCTTGGGTATGCTTTTATCAGCAGCATGTAAACAGACTAGTACAAATATTCTCTAAAAACTACAAAAGATTCCTGAAGGAAATTAAGGAAGTCCTGAATAAATAGACATGTTAAGCATATGGATTTAAAAAATCAAAATTGTTAAAATGTAAACTGTTCCCAAACTATTCTACATTCTCTGCTATCCCAATAATAATGTAGGTGGCTTTTGGTGAAAGTTGATAGTCATCTCTTAAACTTATGGACTTGCGAAGGATCTAGAATAGTCAAATTGATCTTGAAAATTAAGTACAAGGCTGGAGGACCTGTAATACCTAACACCAAGACCTAAGGCTGCAGCAATCAAGAAACCGAATATTGGTCTATAGATAGGAAAGGTGAATCCTCATAGTTCTACACATAGATCAACACTAATGCTGTCAATGGAATGTTTAGTTCCCACCACTTAACGATCTACTTACCAATGGTGCTGGTGGTGCACGAGAAGCCAGGGGTCCCTAAACCTCTGCCTGGGCCTCAATCTTCCTCTCTTGCCACTGTCAGGCTGGTGGTCAAAGTGTAGTAGCATGCAAAGTCCATGTTCAAGTCAGGGATGAGCTCAGCCAAGTGTTCCTTGAAGGCAGGGTCAGCCCAGCCACACAGGTGAAGAGGTGGGTGGTACTGGCAAAACAGCAGGAGATAGCAGGGTGTTTGTCACAGCCAAGCTGCCCTTGGGAGCCTCTGACCAGCACCTGCCTCCCACCTTCTCATAGCCATCGCACAGGGCAGCTTCTGCGGGCTGCAGGGTGGCCTTGGGAGAGACACATTGAGATGGGGACACAAAATGACAGGCCCTAGAGCTTCCCATTCATGATGGCAAACTGATTTTTTTTTCTTTTAAGATGGAATTTCACCCTTGTCACGCAGGCTGGAGTGCAGTAGTGCGATCTCGGCTCACCGCAACCTCCGCCTCCTAGGTTCAAGCAATTCTCCTGCCCCAGCCTCCAGAGTACCTGGGATTACAGTGGCGCACCACCATGCCCATCTAATTGTTTTGTATTTTTAGTAGAGACAGGGTTTCCCCATGTTGGCCAGGCTGGTCCCGAACTCCTGACCTCAGTGATCCACCTGCCTTAGCCTCCCAAAGTGCTGGGATTACAGGCGTGAGCCACTGCTCTTGGCTGGCAAACTAACTTTTAAATGCAACATCAAAGCAATTAAATGGTTAAACGAAGTCTCCTTAATAAATACAAAAAAACAAAACCATCCTGAGCACTACCCCACATCATATGTTAAAATAGAAAACACAACCCCCAAGTCACACGGTACACAAAACTTAATTCAAGGTGGATCTTATATTTAACAACGAAAATGAAAACATAAAACTTATAGCAGAAAATATAAGAGGATATTTTCACAAACCCAAGGATAAACATTTCTTACACAGGACCCAGAAATCACAGTCATTAAAAAAGAAGTATATTAGACTTCATAAAAGTTAATAAAACTTCTCATCAAAATGCACTATTAAAATTTGTGAATGAGCAAAACAATGATTGGGAAAAATATTTCCAAAATATGTATCTGTCAGGGGATATATATTGAGACTATAAAAAGAATCCCTGCAACTAAACAACAATAAAAAGCAAGAAAAAGGCTTGAACAACCACTTTACAAGAATACATGTGAATGGTCAATAAGGAGATAAAAGAATGTTCAACATCACTTGTGTTCAGAGAAATCCACGTTGAAACCTCTGTGTTAGAGAAGTTTTGGTCAGGCCTGGGTTATGGGGTGTGAGCCTCAGGTCCAATGTCAATGAGTCCGCAATGGTTATTAAACACGGCATCTTTAAACAGAAGCACACACCCAACAAGGTTAGCTATTGACTATTTGACGAAAATGTGTGACCAGTGGCTTTCAGGAACCTAACCTTGTGTTTTCCAGGGGAGCAATGGTTGAGGCTGATTCAGGGTCAAGTTGACTTCAGAGAACATGAGAATCTGTGTTTAAATCTGCACAGTACTCTTGGTTCACTTACTCCCTTCCAGGCCCTTTTTCATGCCTATCCCTGTGCTGGATGATGGATTATAGTCAGGACCCGGGGCAGACACAGCCCTTTTCTTGCCTTCTTTACAGTGAAGACCGACATAACACAATCAACCAGGTGGTTCCCCAGCTGAGGGGTCCGTTCCCAAGACAGGCCCACAGGCTCCGGGAGCACCGACCTGGCCATTGCTCTCTCGGGAGGGTGGGAGGAGGGAGAGCACCAGGAAGAATAACTCCTGGGTCCCAGGCTCAGTACCTGGGTGACTAAATAATCTGTACAACACACCTCCTAACTAGGGACATGAGTTTACCTAGATTACAAAGCTGCATATGTACCCTGGAACCTAAAATAGAAGTTTTTTTTTTTCTTTTTAAGGTTTCCACTAAAAAAGCGACAACTGAGATGAGACCTGCTCAGTGATTGCGACTGAGTGAATATGAATGTGGGGTGCAAAGAGTACCCCCCAAAGAAGGGGAAGGTTTTACTGAAAAAGCCCTGAGGCCAAAGAAGCAGTACCTTATCTAAAGCCTTTGTTCATAGAATGCCCTGATGCTGCAGGGTATTGGAGGTGGTCCCTCTCCACATCTAAAGATGAGCGACTCCAGGCTGAGAAAGAAAGCCTCTTGCTGCAGATCACTCTTTCACGCAGGTCATGGCTGCCCCTCCTGGGTAAAGTAGACAGCTTTTTGGTTGAAACCCTTGGTGATATTTACTTAATTCCCCCAGTCTCTCACTCTACAGCCCTCCCCAACTTTCAGCTCCATCGTCCTGTCCTTTGAATCCCGTTGTCTCTATCTTACAGGAGAGAGTGAAGGGCTCTCCTTTTGCAAGGCTGTCCTGAAGTCTTAATTCCTCCCTTCCAAGAAAACCAGCAGCTGATCATCATCTTAAGCAGATCAGCACCAGCAGCCAGATGCCGTTCAGGCTTAAGTGCCCAGAAAGCCTCACGGATTAATTGCACACTCTGTGTCATTAACCTCCAGGTCGGATTAGGTCACCTCGATTAAAAGCTGATGCTGGAAAGATTGAAAAGGGTGAGAAAGTCCTGGATACGAAGGCAAAAACTTAAAGCATGAATGTCCCAATCCTCGGGGCTTTAAAACAATAGTCCAGCAGTCTGATTCATTCAGAAATCTCTTCGTCTGTTTTTGTTCGCACACTCACACACACTCACACACATACATTTCCATCCTTTGCACGCATAAAGTTACTTTCAGAAGTTCAATCTACTGCCATGACGAGATTCTTTTGCTGTCATTATTGATGTTGCTGGTTGTTTTGTTGTTGTTGTTGTTTTGTGGGATAATAGTATGTTACAAACATTTGTAAATTCCATTAAATTATAACACAAAACCCCCCAATGGCCAATTCTTTGTATAAAATTTGAGCCCGATTGGTTGCCCTCAGAGCCTGCAGTAATGTGGTCATTTGCCGTGGAAGTGGGGTTTCCTGTGTTGCTTTGGTAATAGAGTCCTGTTATGGGCTAATTACCCGTGAGGACTGGTCACGTCCAGGTCTGTGAGCGCTTATGCCAATTTCAATCCCAAAGGAAATGGCCTGACTTACTTCTACTGATTGGTCTGTAGAGGAGTAAGATGTCTAAGTAGAGAGGAACAACTGCTGCAGAGCAGAACTTTCTATGCCTCCTGTCCCTTTATGGAAGCCTCGTGAATCCTTCTGATGAACAAATGGATGAAGTTTCACAAGTATGCCTTGGATTTGCAACAGTTCTGTCATGAACAGGACTTTCATTGACAAAGTTTAGCCCCAAGACAACTTTTTAAAAAACCATCTTGTTTTCTTAAACCATGTCTTCCTTGCTGTGATTGCATAGCAAGGTTACTGACGTAGGACGGCCACTCTCACACTCTGTTATTTTATCGCATTTTATGTTTAACAGATTGTAATTACATAAAATACTGTACGTTCTCCCGAATGCTAATAATGACTGAGGATATATGAATGTATAAGTATTATTAATTTATTGTGCTGTTAAAAATGCAGTTTTATGACAGTTTTAACTGGGTTAACCCTGTGTGTGTGTGTGTGTGAGAGAGAGTGAGTGAGAGAGGGAATTTTAATAGAGGGCAGTACCATTATTTAATCTTCTTTTTATCAAGTGAGTTTTCAAAATATATTTAAAATTCTCACCTCTCCACTTTCTTGATGGCATATTTGGTTTTATGCTAAACTGAATTCAGAAAATCCTGTTAATGAAGATGGTTTAATGCCTGTGCATTATTATAACGGACCCCTTTGTTCTGCAGTTTCCCTGCAACATGGACTAAGTCATTAATCAATGGGTGCCGAAAAATAATTGTCTAGTTCTTAACAATTGTCTATTGTTGAAGCATTTGGAATTTTAAGATAAAGATGTACAGGCTGCTCTAAAAAATGGTTTAAGATTACCCTTCATGGAATTGTGGACATATTGTTGGAAGCAGGAAGCAGCTGATCCGGTTTTAATGCATTTTTGAGTCTCGCTGTTCAATTGCCTATTCAAATTGTGCTGGAAAAGTTGACTTCATTAATGTCAGGAAATAATGATTTCATATTTTGTATTGAGCTGGCATGGTTGTTAAATGCAGAAATATCATAGAATTCTTCAGCATTTTGAAATCGAGTGAAGCATGTGAATAATCACAATAACTTTTTGTCTATTTAACAACAGTTTTTGTACGTGGCACTCCCATCTTAGATACCTGCTATAAATAAGAACCCTGTATCTGAATGATTACTAGTCAGCAAGAAATATATGACTACAGCATGCTGCTTTAGTGGCTCAAAATTAGACATCTTTCTCACTGAAAATGCTGTAATTTGAAATGTCAATAAATACATTTCATGCCATCTTATACTGTAAAAAATTACCCCTTAAATCTGTCAAGATCGAAGTCTAACTCATGGCCTGAAAAAAAAAAAGTAAATTCTAACTTGGGGAACGATGTGTGCCCCGATTTTTAAGTGTGCCTCCCCTTCTAAATTCGCTGATATGACTAAGTCTCCCTAGACGGCATTCCCAGGGACTGTCTTAAGACATGCTTATTTTTGGTATAGCAGTAACCTGTTACAGACTTTTTTATTTATTTATTTATTTTATTTTATTTTTTTTTTGAGACGGAGTCTCGCTCTGTCGCCCAGGCTGCAGTGCAGTGGCGCGATCTCGGCTCACTGCAGGCTCCGCCTCCCGGGTTCACGCATTCTCCTGCCTCAGCCTCCCGAGTAGCTGGGACCACAGGCGCCCGCCACCACGCCCGGCTAATTTTTTCTATTTTTAGTAGAGACGGGGTTTCACCGTGTTAGTCAGGATGGTCTCGATCTCCTGACCTCGTGATCTGCCTGCCTCAGCCTCCCAAAGTGCTGGGATTACAGACGTGAGCCACAGCGCCAGGCCCAGACTTTAATTAATAATTATTATTGAGTGATTTTTATTTGGTGAGTACCTGGAATAAATACCGTTTCTTAATTGGAGAAAAAAGATAGTTGTGTTTGTCTCAATACCCCTTCCCCAGTGGGACCAATTGCAATTATTCTTTTTTCTCTTGTCTCTAACAAGGCACTGAAAAATGATCAGGCTTCTGTCTCTTACATGTATTCAGTGAGTCTTCAGGGTACGTTAAGGCAGGAAGGGGAAGCTGGCCCCTCCCGCCACTTTAAAGTCTAGGAGGGTGAGGCTATGGAGAGCACCCGGCTTATTTCAATGAGAACCATCTTTGGGGAGCTTCTCTGGGCAGAACATGACACACACACATTATCCTGTTGAGCCTTCACCTTCACCCAGCCAGAATGAGGAGATGCATTGCCATGGTTGTACAGGTGAGGAAATGGGCGGATGGGCCACCCAAGCCACGCAGCTCGAATCCCAGAGCCGTGATCAGAAACCGGTCTGCCTCACTCCAGAGCCCCCAGTTCTCCCTTCACGCTGCTTTCCATTCTCAGTCTCATGCTCCTGAGGGAAGACAGAGATCCTGACCCCAGGGCCCAGGTGATTTCCAAGGCATCAACTATGGTTTGACAGTGTCAGCTTTGGGGGCATTCAGGGCTCATGGCACCAAAGCACACACACTATTCGCTGGAGTAGTCCCACGGGAAAAAATAGTGAATACATGTGTATGTATACATTTATACACATTAGTTCATTATATTACATTGTATATACGCATGCAGATGCCTGTATTACATTACATGATGTATATTTAAACATATACATATGTCACATACACTATATTACATTGTGTATATATGTATACGAATACATATATATGCATTCTGGCCTCTTTAGTAAGCAGTATGTGTGTTGGGGTGAATCAGAAACCACTCACATTTTTGCCTCTCCCGCTTCCCTTTTCAAAAATGTTGATGGAAAAACAAAACAAAACAAAACAAAGCAAAACCAAACAAAACACTTTCTACCTCTGAAAACCTGGCCTGAACTCCTGATATTTGCTGTGGTTTAAGTGTGTCCCCCAAATTTCATGTGTTGGAGACTTAATCCCCAGTTTGGTCGTATTGAAAGTTGGGGCCTTTACGAGGTGATTGGATCGTGAAGGCTCTGACTTCATGAATAGATTAATCTATTGGCGGACTCATGGATCAATAAATTAATGGGTTAATAGATTAATGGGTAATCATGGGAGTGGAACTGGTGGCCTTATAAAGAGAGGTCCTGGGAGTGACCACTGGTCGGAGTTCTCCTGTGGCCTCTGCACTCCAGCCAGTCCTCCTGCATGGCCAGCCCTGGGAGTGACCACTGGTCCAAGCTCTCCTGTGGCCTTTGCATTCTGGCCAGTCCTCCTGCATGGACAGCCGTGGGGGTGACCACTGGTTGGAGCTCTCCCGAGGCCTCTGCACTCCTGGCCAGTCCTCCTGCATGGACAGCCGTGGAGGTGACCACTGGTTGGAGCTCTCCTGTGGTGTCTGCACTCTGGCCAGCTCTCCTGCATGGACAACTGTGGGGTGGCTGACCACTGGTCGGAGCTCTCCTGTGGCCTCTGCACTCCCGGCCAGTCCTCCCGCATGGACAGCTGTGGAGGTGACAACTGGTCGGAGCTCTCCCTAGGCCTCTGCACTCCGGCAAGTCCGAATGGGTCTCGTCCTTTGCAGATACACGCTGGGCTCTCTGAGCAGTTCCTCCCTGGCTCCTCCTTGGGCTGGCATGAGCTGCCTCATCTTCTCACTGGAATATGGCACATAAGGTTACCCAGAATGTTTCTTCTAGATAAGCACTGATCTTCTCAAGCTCTGCGTGTTTTCATACGCAAGGTTGAATGAGAGCCAGTTCTAGACCTAAACAGAAATACCTTTCCCGAGGAAATAGAATTTTAAATTCTTCTGCTTAATGACATATAAGGAAGAAAATGAATTTTTTTTTTTTTTGAGATGGAGTTTCACTGTGTCACCCAGGCTGGAGTACAATGCCATGATCTCAACTCACTGCAACCTCTGCCTTCTGGATTCAAACAATTCTCCTGCCTCAGCCTTCCCAAGTAGCTGGGATTACACGCATGCACCACTACGCCCGGCTAATTTTGTAGTTTTAGTAGAGACAGGGTTTCTCCATGTTGGTCAGGCTGGTCTCAAACTCCCGACTTCAGGTGATCCGCCTGCCTCGGCCTCCCAAAGTGCTGGGATTACAGGCGTGAGCCATCATGCCTGGCCATGAGAGAATATTTAATGTAGTTTTTATTTAAAAATCTGTTTTTATTCAAATGTATTAATGTTCATCTGCTTCTCTTCTTTGTTCTTCCATTTGTTTGTATCCTCTTTTATTTCCTTGAGCAGTGGTTTGTAGTTCTCCTTGAAGAGGTCCTTCACATCCCTTGTAAGTTGGATTCCTAGGTATTTTATTCTCTTTGAAGCAATTGTGAATGGGAGTTCACTCATGATTTGGCTCTCTGTTTGTCTGTTGTTGGTGTATAAGAATGCTTGTGATTTTTGTACATTGATTTTGTATCCTGAGACTTTGCTGAAGTTGCTTATCAGCTTAAGGAGATTTTGGGCTAAGACAATGGGGTTTTCTAGATATACAATCATGTCGTCTGCAAACAGGGACAATTTGACTTCCTCTTTTCCTAATTGAATACCCTTTATTTCCTTCTCCTGCCTAATTGCCCTGGCCAGAACTTCCAACACTATGTTGAATAGGAGTGGTGAGAGAGGGCATCCCTGTCTTGTGCCGGTTTTCAAAGGGAATGCTTCCAGTTTATGCCCATTCAGTATGATATTGGCTGTGGGTTTGTCATAGATAGCTCTTATTATTTTGAGATATGTCCTATCAATAACTAATTTATTGAGAGTTTTTAGCATGAAGGGTTGTTGAATTTTGTTGAAGGCCTTTTCTGCATCTATTGAGATGATCATGTGGTTTTTGTCTTTGGCTCTGTTTATATGCTGGATTACATTTATTGATTTTCGTATGTTGAACCAGCCTTGCATCCCAGGGATGAAGCCCACTTGATCATGGTGGATAAGCTTTTTGATGTGCTGCTGGATTCGTTTTGCCAGTATTTTATTGAGGATTTTTGCATCAATGTTCATCAAGGATATTGGTCTAAAATTCTCTTTTTTGGTTGTGTCTCTGCCTGGCTTTGGTATCAGAATGATGCTGGCCTCATAAAATGAGTTAGGGAGGATTCCCTCTTTTTCTATTGATTGGAATAGTTTCAGAAGGAATGGTACCAGTTCCTCCTTGTACCTCTGGTAGAATTCGGCTGTGAATCCATCTGGTCCTGGATTCTTTTTGGTTGGTAAACTATTGATTATTGCCACAATTTCAGCTCCTGTTATTGGTATATTCAGAGAATCAACTTCTTCCTGGTTTAGTCTTGGGAGAGAGTATGTGTCGAGGAATTTATCCATTTCTTCTAGATTTTCTAGTTTATTTGCGTAGAGGTGTTTGTAGTATTCTCTGATGGTAGTTTGTATTTCTGTGGGATCGGTGATGATATCCCCTTTATCATTTTTATTGCGTCTATTTGATTCTTCTCTCTTTTTTTCTTTATTAGTCTTGCTAGCAGTCTATCAATTTTGTTGATCCTTTCAAAAAACCAGCTCCTGGATTCATTAATTTTTTGAAGGGTTTTTTGTGTCTCTATTTCCTTCAGTTCTGCTCTGATTTTAGTTATTTCTTGTCTTCTGCTAGCTTTTGAATGTGTTTGCTCTTGCTTTTCTAGTTCTTTTAATTGTGATGTTAGGGTGTCAATTTTGGATCTTTCCTGCTTTCTCTTGTGGGCATTTAGTGCTATAAATTTCCCTCTACACACTGCTTTGAATGCGTCCCAGAGATTCTGGCATGTTGTGTCTTTGTTCTCGTTGGTTTCAAAGAACATCTTTATTTCTGCCTTCATTTCATTATGTAACCAGTAGTCATTCAGGAGCAGGTTGTTCAGTTTCCATGTAGTTGAGCGGTTTTGAGTGAGATTCTTCATCCTGAGTTCTAGTTTGATTGCACTATGGTCTGAGAGATAGTTTGTTATAATCTCTGTTCTTTTACATTTGCTGAGGAGAGCTTTACTTCCAAGTATGTGGTCAATTTTGGAATAGGTGTGGTGTGGTGCTGAAAAAAATGTATATTCTGCTGATTTGGGGTGCAGAGTTCTGTAGATGTCTATTAGGTCCGCTTGGTGCAGAGCTGAGTTCAATTCCTGGGTATCCTTGTTGACTTTCTGTCTCGTTGATCTGTCTAATGTTGACAGTGGGGTGTTAAAGTCTCCCATTATTAATGTCTGGGAGTCTAAGTCTCTTTGTAGGTCACTCAGGACTTGCTTTATGAATCTGGGTGCTCCTGTATTGGGTGCATATATATTTAGGATAGTTAGCTCTTCTTGTTGAATTGATCCCTTTACCATTATGTAATGGCCTTCTTTGTCTCTTTTGATCTTTGTTGGTATAAAGTCTGTTTTATCAGAGACTAGGATTGCAACCCCTGCCTTTTTTTGTTTTCCATTTGCTTGGTAGATCTTCCTCCATCCTTTTATTTTGAGCCTATGTGTGTCTCTGCACATGAGATGGGTTTCCTGAATACAGCACACTGATGGGTCTTGACTCTTTATCCAATTTGCCAAAACTACTTTAAAGTTCATATGGAACCAAAAAAGAGCCCGCATTGCCAAGGCAATCCTAAGCCAAAAGAACAAAGCTGGAGGCATCATGCTACCTGACTTCAAACTGTACTACAAGGCTACAGTAACCAAAACAGCATGGTACTGGTACCAAAACAGAGATATAGATCAATGGAACAGGACAGAGCCCTCAGAAATAATGCCGCCTATCTACAACTATCTGATCTTTGACAAACCTGAGAAAAACAAGCAATGGGGAAAGGATTCCCTATTTAATAAATGGTGCTGGGAAAACTGGCTAGCCATATGTAGAAAGCTGAAACTGGATCCCTTCCTTACACCTTATACAAAAATCAATTCAAGATGGATTAAAGACTTAAACATTAGACCTAAAACCATAAAAACCCTAGAAGAAAACCTAGGCATTACCATTCAGGACATAGGCACGGGCAAGGACTTCATGTCTAAAACACCAAAAGCAATGGCAACAAAAGACAAAATTGACAAATGGGATCTCATTAAACTAAAGAGCTTCTGCACAGCAAAAGAAACTACCATCAGAGTGAACAGGCAACCTACAGAATGGGAGAAAATTTTCGCAACCTACTCATCTGACAAAGGGCTAATATCCAGAATCTACAATGAACTCAAACAAATTTACAAGAAAAAAACAAACAACCCCATCAAAAAGTGGGCGAAGGACATGAACAGACACTTCTCAAAAGAAGACATTTATGCAGCCAAAAAACACATGAAAAAATGCTCACCATCACTGGCCATCAGAGAAATGCAAATCAAAACCACAATGAGATACCATCTCACACTAGTTAGAATGGCAATCATTAAAAAGTCAGGAAACAACAGGTGCTGGAGAGGATGTGGAGAAATAGGAACACTTTTACACTGTTGGTGGGACTGTAAACTAGTTCAACCATTGTGGAAGTCAGTGTGGCGATTCCTCAGGGATCTAGAACTAGAAATACCATTTGACCCAGCCATCCCATTACTGGGTACATACCCAAAGGACTATAAATCATGCTGCTATAAAGACACATGCACACGTATGTTTATTGCGGCATTATTCACAATAGCAAAGACTTGGAACCAAGCCAAATGCCCAACAATGATAGACTGGATTAAGAAAATGTGGCACATATACACCATGGAATAATATGCAGCCATAAAAAATGATGAGTTCACGTCCTTTGTAGGGACATGGATGAAATTGGAAATCATCATTCTCAGTAAACTATCGCAAGAACAAAAAACCAAACACTGCATATTCTCACTCATAGGTGGGAATTGAACAATGAGATCACATGGACACAGGAAGGGGAATATCACACTCTGGGGACTGTGGTGGGGTGGGGGGATGGGGGAGTGATAGCATTGGGAGATATACCTAATGCTAGATGACGAGTTAGTGGGTGCAGCGCACCAGCATGGCACATGTATACATATGTAACTAACCTGCACAATGTGCACATGTACCCTAAAACTTAAAGTATAATAAAAAAAAAATAAAAAAATAAAAAAAAGAAAAGAAAAAAAAATCAGATTCACACACACAAAAAATCTAATAATTTTTAGTCCATTTAATTCTTTTAAGGAATTTTATGTACTTTGCCCTCTGTTACCAGATGCATGTCATAAATAAAGGTGATGATAGGACAGCTGGGAATATGTGGAAACATAATTCAGTTTTAGTGTTTGATATGGGACAGGGAACACAGTTAAGTCAGGTTATTTTTATGTTCCCATCTACTTGACCGGCATCTCTAAAGCTACTGAAAATCCATATTGGAGACAGGACAGAGAAAAATGCTTTGCTGAGAGATGTCCTGCTTTTCACAGCACGTGTTTCTGATGAGGGGTATTTAGCTTTTCACGAGGCGCATTTCCACGTGAATGCGGCTCCCCTTACATCTGGACAGAGGTGGAAGGAAATGGCACCCCGTGCCCTAACCATTGTCTAGTATTATGTGACTTATACCCTTGGCCCTGCCCCTGAAGTTTATTATTCTTCCTGATTATGTTGAGACCTCTTTATTTTGAATTTATTTCATTTTGGACTTATAGTCATCCTTATAGTTTGTACTGTCATCTTCCTTTCTTCGCCTATCTCAGTCACCTTGACCAGGTACAATGCTGGACCAAGGCCGAGAAAAGCAAATTTAACAGGGCCATCTGTGAAGTCTCACCTTTAGAAGAAACAACCAAAAAAACATTAGCTGCCGAAGTATAGATTTGGAGGGCCTGCTGGGCCCAGACAGCCAGGCATGGAGCTAGGAGTTTTAGTTGGCAATAAGCTTATAATGAGCCAACAGTGTGAGTTCCGCGGACGGATTCAGAGCTAGAAAGAGTGAAATAGGAAGTATGGTCTGGGGCATGAGAGGGAGACGACACTGATAATCTGTAATTTACCTAGAGAAGCGTAATCAAGATCACCTGGATTATCAATCACTAGATAACGCTCACCGTGAGTGCTGTTGGGAGACACCGCTCAGTCTGCGGAGGACGGCAGAGCCAGTTTGCTCTGGCTTGGCCTGAAGAAGACGCTGAGAGTCGTCGAAGCTGTCCTCGGTTATTGAAACTCTGTTCTGAGGGAGGTGGAGTGCTTTCCTCCACATGGCTCCAGGAGATTGGACGATGATGAGTGTCTGAGCATTGAAAAAAAACCCATTTGTTATACAAAGCAGGAATTTCTTAATGAAGAGGGCCAGGTCTCAGTGAAGAGGGTTTCTCGGCAGGACGTGAAAACTTTCCACAGACTGGATGACTCTCCATCAGAAATACCGTGCGAGTTGGCTCTGTGCATGAGAGGTAGCAGCAGAGGTGAGGTGGGTTTTTGTTGTTGTTGTTGCTATTTTTGTTGTTTCGTTTTTTTTTTGAGATGGAGTCTCGCTCTGTCACACAGACTGGAGTGCAGTGGTGTGATCTCGGCTGACTGCAACCTCCACCTCCTGGGTTCAAGCGATTCTCCTGCCTCAGCCTCCCGAGTAGCTGGGACTACAGGAGTGTGCCACCATGCCCAGCTAATTTTTGTATTGTTAGTAGAGATGAAGTTTCACCATGCTGGCCAGGATGGTCTTGATCTCTTGACATTGTGATCTGCCTGCCTCGGCCTCGCAAAGTGCTGGGATGACAGGCGTGAGCCACTGCGCCTGGCCAGGTGAACTTTACTGATGAGACGCTGCTGGGCCATCGGGACACCTGCAGTAGAAATGTTTACAAGGCAATAAAATGTGCAGTTCATGCAGTTCATGCTCCAGACCCTCTCCCGGGTCTGCTTTTCCTCCTTTTTCTGTTCCCAGGAAGGGCTTTGGAATCAGACCTGGGCTCAGGTCCCAGCCCTGGCAAGTTCATGTGACATTGGTAGTCTGTGACACTGAGCAAGAGTGTCCTGGGATTTGGGCTGGGAATCTAAGCATGGTGAGCCCTGAAAGAGTTGATGTGTGTGGTAAGGAGTCTGCCTGTGCTGGGTGCCCTGGAGAGAAAGGGGGTCAGTGATCACCATTGTTATCCAGGTCTCCTCCTTACCTGGATGCCTGTCTCGCGTCTAATTCTTACCTGTTCTTCATACTGAGAGGTATATGCTTCAATCTAGCATCTCCGTATCCTACTCCTCTATCCACACTGACCCTCCACGGAAACGCCCTGGTGGTCTTGTTAAGAGTAGGGAGCTCAGCAGACATGAGCAGGGAAGCAGAGGCCCCGCCCCAGGACTGCCACGTGACCATCCGGTGATGGTCAGGCAGTTGTTAAACTTTCTCTCTAAAATAGTAATTGATCACAGTCAGTGCCAGGGAAAGGCAGTCTCCGCATAGATAGAAAACACCTGAAGCTGGTGATCAGCAGCTTCCCGATAAGACCTCCGGAGCTGGGCGAGCAGGCTCAAGCATACGCACTAAGAGGCAAGGTGGCGGAGTTTAACCAGTGTATGACCTTCTAGGAAGCTCAGCTGCTAGGGGAAGAACGCCTCAAGTGAGCATGCGCACAGCTCCAATAGACACCGGGCCTGCAGACCGCACGCCTCAAGTGAGCATGCGCACAACTCCAATAAACACCGGGCCTGCAGACCGCACGCCTCAAGTGAGCATGCGCACAGCTCCAATAGACACCGGGCCTGCAGACCGCACGCCTCAAGTGAGCATGCGCACAGCTCCAATAGACACCGGGCCTGCAGACCGCACGCCTCAAGTGAGCATGCGCACAGCTCCAATAGACCCCGGGCCTGCAGACCGCATGCCTCAAGTGAGCATGCGCACAACTCCAATAAACACCGGGCCTGCGGACGGCACACCCCAAGGGAAGAACCAGAGGAGAAGAAATGCAAACCCAAGAGCCATGCCAACACAAAAAACCCCAAGTCAAGGGTGGATGGAGCACTGAGACCTCTCACATCGCCTGCTTAGCCCTCTTCCGAGTGTCCTTTACTTCTTTTTGTTGCTGCTCTAAAACTTTAATAAACGCTCACTCCTGCTCTAAAAGTCATCTTAATCTCACACTCTGCCTTATGCCCCTTGGCCAAATTCTTTCTTTTGAAGAGGCAAGAATTGAGTTGCTGCAGACTCATATATATTCACCTCTGCTAATGGTCTGTGAGGAAGTAATTCCGACCGCAGGTATGGCTGCAGCTGGGCTTTATTCTATGCTGTAACTGGCCTGGCTCATGCCTCTCCCTCCTTCCCGGATGAGTGAGGACACAACAGGGCAGTGACTACTCCTGGCACTTAAATCTCAGACTCTCGATATTTTATCTGATGAGAAAAAGTAAATAAAGTGATTTGTAAAGGGATAAATCTGGGATGCTATGAATTTTCAACATGTAGCAGAAATATGTGTCATTTTAACTTTAAGAACAGCCATCGTATCCAACCAAGAAAGGTTACCGTGTAAATAGTATCCCTGGACTAGATTGTGGCCATCATGAGCTTCTCCCTGGGCGTTTGTAATCGACCTCACAGTGGCCTGTGAATAACCCCCAAATAGGGAGTTTTCCCTCTTTGTAAGTGAGATGTACATCCTAGAGTCAAAATCAAGTGGGGGGGCGGGGAACCCAGAAAAAAACTGATGCTTACCCAAGAATGATTGTTATCATGAATTCAATTAAAAAAATTATTTTTTAAAGATCCCAAATTTTAAAAGAGGCATTTTGTAATCAAAAAGAGCTGATGGCAAAACCCATCTTGCTTGTGGAATGTATTTCTTTCTTTAATTTGTGGCCGTCAAGATAAAAGTTTAAATATCAGATATGAATGTGAAAAGCACCGTGTCTACTATATTTAATATAATTATAATTTTTCAATATTTTATTAGCAACAAAGTCATATGATAACGAGGCATATTAGCATATTTATAATTCTGCCCTTCATACCCAGCAGGTTACTTGCAGGCTCTTTAATTCGAACGATCTTTTGTGTAAATGTAAACTACCTTTCCATTGCTAACAACACCATTGACCCCATGTCAGGCAACATTATCTTTTCGGTAATTTGCACCAATAGCTGCATTGTGTTTCATTTAGCAGAACGCTTATCAGGGAAAGACAGGAAGAGAGACATCCACAGCTCTTTGTCAAATAAATGGAGGTGATAATAAAAAAACGATAGGACTTAAGGAAGCAGATTGAGGAAGTGTGCAGACAGGAGGCAGAGAAGAGTATCTGGCCATTTGAGAGCAGAGAGAGGTGGGGCCAGGAATGCAGGAGGTGGCTCCAGCTCTGAGTGGCTTTGGGGTAGGAGCAGGTAGGTTGCAATTCCTTGTTCCCAATTTCAGGTGCTTAAGAAACTCTACTTCTGGATTTGGGGGTTTGAAATACAGGATGCAATTGCAGAAATAGCCTGTAAAGATGGAAGTGGGGAGCTGGTTTCATGGTCTCTGAACCCTCCATGGAATTGGAGGTTGCAGTGAGCCGAGATCATGCCACTGCACTCCAGCCTGTGTGACAGAGTCAGACTCTGTCTCAAAAAAAATAAAAAATAAAAAATAAAAATAAATAATAAAAAATTAAAAAAGATGTGCTCAAACCTAGTTATAATGACTTAAAATTCATGGTCCAAAACTGCAATTACTTTTGCACCAACCTAATAGTCAATGCCCTAAGAAAAAACTGTCAGCTCAGCAGGCCAGGGCCAGAGTAAATAGGAAATTTTCCCAAGGAAATTCGGGAAAGGAAAGAGGACTGCTGCAGAGAGTAAGATGGGAGAGAGAAGGGATAAAAGTTAGAGCAAGAGGGGTTTTCAGAACTCTTAGGCTGTTACCACAATCATCCTGGACAGGAGCATTGGTCCAATTTTATTCACATCTTTAAGGACAGAGTGGTTCCAGTGGGCATTCAGCTACATTTAAAAATGACAGAAAGTATAAGAGAAAGGAAAACTAAGTCCTATGTGATTATCTTTCAAACTAAAATTGAAGCTTACGGTTTTTCTGCTGGGTTATGTGTGTGGATATTTAAAGTTCCAGTGGCTTCCCATCTCTGGCTATTATTTCTGTGGCATTCAGAACACAAGACTCTCCATTGACTGAATTGTCCAGTAGTATTAGGTCTTAATCAGCACAAAAGCATTAACAGTCTGAAACATTGCAATAAAAATTTTCTGCACCAATAGATAATGAAGAAGGAGATCAAAACAAACCTCTGAATACACATGTATTTATGCATGTGTACATGGGCACACACATGTACATGGAACGATCTATTAGAGTAGGGAGCTCAGTGACATGAGCAGGGCAGGAGAGGGCCCCCCGTCCAGGAATGTCAGGTGACCCTCAGGTGATGGTCAGGCAGTTATTAAACTGTCTCTCCAAAATAATAATTGGTTGCAGCTGCTGCCAGGGAAAGGCAGCCTCTCCATAGAAAACACCTGAAGCTGATGATCAGCAGCTTCCCGATAAGACCTCAGCAGTTGGACGAACAAACTCAAGCATGTGCACTAAGAGGCAAAATGGCGGAGTTTAACCAGTATATGACCTTCTTCCAGGACGCCCAACTGCTAAGGGAAGAATGCCTCAAGTGAGCATGCGCACAACTCCAGTAAACACCGTGCCTGCGGCCCTCCTGAGCACTAGCAGGCCGCTGTGCACGCGGACGGCACACCCCAAGGGAAGAACCAAGGGAGAAGAAATGCAAACCCCAGAGCCATGCCAACACAAAAAACCCCAAGTCAAGGGTGGATGGAGCACTGAGACCTCTCACATCGCCTGCTTGGCCCTCTTCCGAGTGTACTTTACCTCCTTTTGTTCCTGCTCCAAAACTTTTTTTTTTTTTTTGGAGAGGTAGCCTTGTTCTGTCGCCCAGGCTGGAGTGCAGTGGCTCGATCTCTGCTCACTGCAAGCTCCGCCTCCCGGGTTCACACCATTCTCCTGCCTCAGCGTCCCGAGTAGCTGGGACTGCAGGCACCAGCCACCATGCCTAGCTAATTTTGTTTTTTTTTTTTTTTTTGGTATTTTTAGTGAAGGTGGGGTTTCACTGTGTTAGCCAGGATGGTCTCGATCTCCTGACCTCCTGATCCGCCCACCTCGGCCTCCCAAAGTGCTGGGATTACAGGCATGAGCCACCGCGCCCGGCCACTCTAAAACTTTTTCATAAACTCTCAATTCTGCTCTAAAACTTGCTTGTCTGTCCCTCTGCCTTAAACCCACTTCTGCCCCTCAGCTGAATTCTTTCCTCCTCTGAGGGAGATGGCAAGGAGTGAGTTTGCTGCAGACCTGTTTGGATTTGCTGTTGGGGACAGAGCTATTTTACTGGTATCCTCTTGGACCCTTTGACACTTTGTTTTAGTGCCATATTTCACAGGCAGTTCTTGATATTTTAAAATCATTTTTGGAAGGAGACAACCTGCTTTGGATTATTATTTTTTTGCCGTGCACAATGAACGGAAATGTTGCAAATATGAGCTTTCAATATCATTTGTTATTTTTTCATCAGAATATAAATTGCTGAACTTAGTACTAGTTATCAGAAAATTGAGGGACAATAATTTAAGAAAAGGTCAGTGGAAGTAAAGTGTGGCTCTCAGAAACAAGGGGCTCCCCTAGTGGAAAAGGCAGGCTGAGATAGGGAAATAGCAGGGAAAAGGCTGTGAAAGGCAGGAGGATTTCACACCCATCTGCCACTTACTCAGAGGTCGTGGACTGGCCGTTTAATTTTTTGAAACTAATTTTCCTTATGAGAACAGATGTTAATAGTGACCTGTCAAAAGTCGTTTCCATCAAATACTATAATAACCTAGCTCAGTGCCTGGCACATGCAGTCACTTAAGGAGTAGAAATTTTTATCATTATCATTATTATTATTGCTAGTATCTTGCTTACTAATAGGTTGAATGCCGTTGACTTCCACTTGCCTACTGGTCCAAGCTTTAAAGCTTCTTTAGTGTTCCCTAGAATGTCTATCAATCTGATTGAGAAGAGTGTTTAGGCTTTTGAGATGGAATCATTGACTTCAAAGTGCTCAGACATTACTATTGCTTGTGTTTCTAATCTGAGAGAGAAGACAATTACAACAATTATTGATTCACAGGATTTTTGTGTTGGAAAGAACTTCAGATAATTTTGTTTCCTTTCTTTTTTTTTTTTTTTTTTTTTTGAGACGAAGTCTTGCTCGTTGCCCAGGCTGGAGTGCAGTGGCACAATCCTGGCTCGCTGCAACCTCCATCTCCCAGGTTCAAGTCATTCTCCTGCCTCAGCCTCCCAAGCTGGGATTACAGGCATGTGCCACCAGGCCTCGCTAATTTTTGTATTTTTAGCAGAGACGGAGTTTCACCATTGTTTGCCAGGCTGGTCTCAAACTCCTGACCTCAAGTGATCTGTCTGCCTTGGCCTCCCAAAGTGCTGGGATTACAGGCATGATCCACTGTGCCCAGCCAGACTTCAGATAATTCTTGAACCACTTCTCTGCAGCCACCACTGAGACTGAGGATGGCCAGGCCAACAAAAGTTCCCCTTTTCTGATCCATGCAGCTGTAGTCAAGTTAGAACAAGAATCCGTCTCCTAGACACCACTGTGGGGTTTCCACCTTTTAAAATAGAGTATAGTTGGGCTTGTTAGTATTACAGCAGCCCTCTCTGGAGTATCAAAATACATGATATGACAAAAGTTAATTATACACAACCAGCCAAGGAAAAAATCTCAAACTGAAATTCACAGTTGAATCTTTATGGTTTCCATGGTAATGGGAAGTTGAGAGTGTTCAAATAGAGGAATCTTGCACAAAAAAATGTGTTGGGTGATTTTTCCAACATCTCGTAAGTGATTAATCAGGCCAGATCCATCGTGATGTTACTGGGAGCTGCGTGTCAGAGAAAAGAGCAAGCTCCGTTTCAGTGCCATCCGCGTGCAGCACCTGTGGCTCTCGCTGTGTGCTGGCTCTCCCCAGGCAGGGAGACAATTAAATAATGAGGAAGGCATGGGCTTCCTAGTGCCCACGGGCCATTAGAAGGAATCCTCTTCTGCACCCCAGTCTGATGTTCTTCCTCATGCAAAAGTTTACCAGGGGATTCAAGATGTGGTCGAGGTCTGCGTCCAGTGACCACAGTTGTGTCATTGACTGAGCCACAAAGAGAAAGCAAAGCAAGGGATAACCAGAGGGAAGCTGGCCTACGACTTTTTAATTTTGTATTTATTTTTTTGTCTCGCTCTGTCGCTCAGGCTGGAGTACAGTGGTGCAATCTTGGCTCACTGAAACCTCTGACTCCTGGGTTCCAGTGATTCTCTTGCCTCAGCCTGCTGAGTAGCTGGGACTACAGGTGCGTGTCACCACGCCTGCCTAATTTTTGTATTTTTAGCAAAGACGGGGATTTCTCCAGGGTGGCCGGGCTGGTCTCAAACTCCCGACCTCAAATGATTTGCCGGCCTTGGCTTCCCAAAGTGCTGAGATTACAGGTACGAGCTACTGCACCCAGCCACACCCACAGCTCTTTATGATGCCGCTGACAGTGACTCCACTGCACAGCGGTGGCAGAATGGCTGCTCCTTGTTGATGCTGGGTCATAGACCTATGAGATTTATCTCACTGTTTTCTTCAGTTTTATATAAATAAGAATTCTAATAGAGGGAAAGAAAGATAACCAATACATACAACAGCTTCAAATCACAAAACACCTTTAATATAAACTGGCAAAAAGTGCATATTAGTGTGGACGCGAGAGTCAAGCTCTTTAAAACATATGAAAAGATTTATTCTGAGCCAAATATGAGTGACCATGGCCCGTGATGCAGCCCTCAGGAGACATTGAGAACATTTGCCCAAAGTCGTCCGGGCACAGTTTGGTTTTAACCCTTTTAGGGAGATGTGACGGGGGCAGGGAAGTGCTGCATAGAGAAGGGCAAGGTCCCTGGTGAAGCCTGCATCCTCTGGCCTGTGCCCATGGACCTAAGTGAGAACAGGTACTCCTGTTTTTGCACCTGAACGTTGCATTTTCCAAGCCCACTCTGGACTGCCATGCCCCTTCCCATCCTGTGCGCATAAAAACCTAAAACCATAGTGGGCAGAAACACAAGTGGCTGAACATTGAGAAGAACAGAGGCACAGAGCAGGGCAGAGTGGATCTGGACCACAGGCACAAACCCCGGCCCCGTGCAGCATGCTTGCTTGTCCAGCGGGAAAGGTGGGAGTGCTGCCCTGCGGCGGGAGGACACACAAACTGCCAGTGATTGGCCAACAGACTCCTTCCAGAACAAACTGCATGATCTGGTACAAGGACATATCCAGAAAAAGCCTCCGGGTGGACCTATGGCCCTGGCCACAAAGTATGATGACCTTGAAATTCCACGTGAATGCCCCGGAAGACATGGACTCCAGAGGAGGCTCCGAACAGTCAGGTGGGCAGGTGTATGCCCCGGGAAGACATGGACTCCAGAGGAGGCTCCGAACAGTCAGGTGGGCAGGTGTATGTCCCGGAAGACATGGAATCCAGAGGAGGCTCCGAACAGCCAGGTGGGCAGGTGTATGCCCCGGAAGACATGGACTCCAGAGGAGGCTCCGAACAGCCAGGTGGGCAGGTGTATGCCCCGGAAGACATGGACTCCAGAGGAGGCTCTAAACAGCCAGGTGGGCAGGTGTTCCTTGGACATCACAGTTCCAGGACCAGGAGGGTCCCCGTGATGGAGACGGTCCCTCTGAATTTAAATTGTCCCAACAACATGGGCTCCTTCTCATGTGCACATATCCTGCTGATGCCATGTATAGATGCAGCTCCCTTAAGGCACTGAGATGAGATTGAGCAGTGGAACGTTGGGGAAATGAGGAGCTTAAAATTATCCCCAAATAGAGAAGATAAATTAAGAAATGAAATTTTGTAGTTTGTGCCCATTCACAAACACTTTGAGATTCTCCTAAATATTTCAAATGGGATAAGGAAAGATATTTAAGCTACCTAGCAGGGGAAAACTTGTTTTCAACATTAATATTAGTATTTCAGAGGAAGAGCTTATTTTCTTCAATGTTATATAGGTTTATTAATTAATTCATCACCAATGTGCAAGCCAGCAGCTGCAGTGCTGTGTGCTTATTTTTAATGAAAACTAGAGGAAGACATTTCATTTTTAAAAAAATTCTTCAGTAAAGATAATTCATAAATATTGTTTTTGCTTTATAATAAGAAAAATAACAAAATATACTAATTCTTTTATCATTGGTTCAAGGGGTATGTAGAAGACTCTTTTAAGATTCTGATTTTTTTTTCTAGTCTATCCTGCTACCTCTATCTTCACCATGATATCAAAACTTCAGTGAAAAAATTTAAAGCTCTTAACCAGCAAGGTAAATATAAAGCATACATAGTCTTCAGACAGACTGACTTTAAGCCAGGAGGAAGCATTGGTGTTTCTTTCCACAGTCTAATCTGTATGTTGGTGAAATGATGCAGAGATCTTGGTGAAACAAAATGTATAGACAACTGTCACAGTCGATTTCATCTGCTTCTCAGAAAAAAGAAAATTCATGATGCACATCAGGGCATCTGAGACAAATGTGAGAAGCCTGTCCCAGAGCGTCTGTTCTACGGATGCGTCCCACTGTGGTCAGTGCCCTTCTGCTGCTCCATATGCAGGCGGTTTTTTTCTTTTCTTTTCTTTTTTCTTTTTTTTTTTGAGACAGAGTTTCGCTCTGTCGCCCAGGCTGGAGTGCAGTGGTGCAATCTCGGCTCACTGCAATCCCCGCCTCCCGGGTTCAAGCGATTCTCCTGCCTCAGTCTCCCGAATAGCTGGAGTTACAGGCATGTGCAACCATGCCCGGTTAATTTTTGTATTTTTAATAGAAATGGGGTTTCACCGTGTTGTCAGGCTAGTCTGGAACTTCTGATCTCAGGTGATCCGCCCGCCTTGGCCTTCCAAAGTGCTGGGATTACAGGCGTGAGCCACTGCGCCAGACCTATATTTTATTTTCTTCTCCTTTTTTTTTTAAGACAGAGCCTTGTTCTGTTGCCCAGGCTGGGGTGCAGTGTCGCGATCGTGTGCCTGAACCTCCCAAGTAGCTGGGATCACAGGCGTGAGCCTCCACGCCTGGCCATGTATGCAGTTTCTAATTTACATCCTCATAAATGATGGCATCATGAACACACTTGCACACATCTTTCACCTGAATCTTTCAGATTATGGAGGTAAAGGCGAAATTGATTCTTATCACAGAAATGTTGAGTAAAAGGACCTGAATTTTAAAGAAATGTTGATAGGCAATTGCAAGGGAATTTATGGTATTCTAACACCTGTATTCCCATAGGCAATGCGTGATAACTCTCTTTTCACTATTCTTTTGCAAAGATTTAGTATTCTTATTAGACATAGCTTATGCCTTTTGGTACATAAATTTTGGTATCTGGTATATTTTTGCATTTTATTGCTTATTCATGATATTGTTCACATCTTAATGTATTTATTGAGCTTTTTTCTCTTTAGATATTTTAATTTATTTCTATTTTGTGTTCATATTTTATTTTTTATTTGTGAGCCCTTTTGTATTAAGATTATTAACTCTTTATAATTCTTGAAGCTAATAATTTTCTGGGTTAATTGAGGTTGTTTCTGAGAGATGTGGCTGGTGGGATGACAGAGAGACAGAAGGAGAGAGAGAAAGAGAGAGAGAGAGAGAGGAGGGAGAGGAGGGAGAAGGCAATGTAATTTGCCTTACTTTGCTTAGTTGCCTAGCAGAATTATACTAAGATTGGGAGAAGGCAATGTAATTTGCCTTACTTTGCTTAGTTGCCTAGCAGAATTATACTAAGATTGAGGTCAATTGGGCCTGTTTTAAGTGTATTTATTCAGAGTGGATAATATTGCCATATTTACCCAGTATTTCAGTTTGTTCTTCAGATGTTGGCTGTTTAATTAAGGGCTGTAAATGGCTACGTGTAAAATAACACTATGATAGTGGTTACCTGTATCTAACAGTTTATTCAAAGACTCACTGTAGGTATTTTTCTTCATGCTACAAAAAGGAAAAGTTAGCATCAGTTCCATTTTTGAATGTGTAGAATGATTCACAGACAAAATCAGTTTATAAATTGCATCTACCAAAGAGATATTTAGGAAGGGAACATTATGTCACCAAGATCTATTTATTTAACCAGAACTTTGTAAACCTGTGAGATCATGTCGACACCTGCTCATTCTGCTCCTTCTCCAGGAGGCACCTGTGCTCCTGTCTGAGTAATCCCAGCAGGCCACGCCAGCTGTGGAAGGCACATGGGCTAAGGAGGTCCTGTGCTCTCAGAGCAAGTTGCCCGGGATGCAGGGCAACACACACAAGTGTGTGTCATCATGCGCCATGGAGGTCCTTGACTTCCCAGGTAATTGCGATGTCCAGAAAGGCAAAAAATAAACATAAAGCAAGTCAGAAATAAAGATTCAGAGAAGTTTTTCTTTGAAGGGAATCTAAGGTTGGGAGCAGAGGCTGAGAAGACCTATATGAGCAGTTCAAAGAAGAGGAGTTTTTTTTATTATTATCCTTTAAGTTCTGGGATACATGTGCAGAACGTGCAGTTTTGTTACATAGGTACACACGTGCCATGGTGGTTTGCTGCACCCATCAACCTGTCACCTACATTAGGTATTTCTCCTAATGTTATCCCTCCCCTAGCTCCCCATCCCCCAACAGACCCTGGTGTGTGATGTTCCCTTCCCTCTGTCTATGTGTTCTCATTGTTCTACTCCCACTTATGAGTGAGAATATGCAGTGTTTGGTTCTCTGTTCTTGTGATAGTTTGCTGAGAATGAAGGTTTCCAGCTTCATCCATGTTCCTGCAAAGGACATGAACTCATCCTTTTTTATGGCTGCGTAGTATTCCATGGTGTATATGTGCCACGTTTTCTTTATCCAGTCTATCATTGATGGACATTTGGGTTGGTTCCAAGTCTTTGTTATTGTAAATAGTGCCACAATAAACATATGTGTGCATGTGTCTTTATAGTAGAATAATTTATAATCCCTTGGGTATATGCCCAGTAATGGGATTGCTGGGTCAAATGGTATTTCTAGTTCTAGATCCTTGAGGAATTGCCACACTGTCTTCCACAATGGTTGAACTAATTTACACTCCCACCAACAGTGTAAAAGCATTCCTATTTTTCCACATCCTCTCCAGTATCTGTTGTTTCCTGACTTTTTAATGATCACCATTCTAACTGGCATGAGATGGTATCTCATTGTGGTTTTGATTTGCATTTCTCTAATGACCAGTGATGATGAGCATTTTTTCATATGTTTGTTGGCTGCATAAATTTCTCCTTTTGAGAACTGTCTGTTCGTATCCTTTGCCCACTTTTTGATGGTTTTGTTTTTTCTCTTGTGAATTTGTTTAAGTTATTTGTAGATTCTGGATATTAGCCCTTTGTCAGATGGATAGATTGCAAAAATTTTCTCCCATTCTCTAGGTTGCCTATTCACTCTGATGATAGTTTCCTTTGCTGTGTGGAAGCTCTTTAGTTTAATTAGACCCCATTTGTCAATTTTGGCTTTTGTTACCATTGCTTTTGGTGTTTTAGACATAAAGTCTTTGCCTATGCCTATGTCCTGAATGGTATTGCCCACGTTTTCTTCTGGGATTTTTATGGTTTTAGATCTTATGTTTAAGTCTTTACTCCATCTTGAGTTGATTTTTGTATGAGGTATAAGGAAGGGGTCCAGTTTCAGTTTTCTGCGTATGGCCAGCCAGCTTTCCCAACACCATTTATTAAATAGGGAAATTTTTCCCCATTGCTTGTTTGTGTCAGGTTTGTCAAAGATTAGATTGTTGTAGATGTGTGGTGTTATTTCTGAGGCCTCTGTTCTGTTCCATTGGTCTATATATCTGTTTTGGTACGAGTATCATGCTGTCTTTGTTACTGTAGCCTTGTAGTATAGTTTGAAATCAGGTAGCATGATGCCTCTGGCTTCTTTTTTTTTTTCTTGCATAGGATTGTCTTGGCTATGCGGGCCCTTTTTTGGTTCCATATAAAGTTTAAAGTAGTTTTTTTCCCAATTCTGTGAAGAAAGTCAGTGGTAGCTTGATAGGGAAAGCATTGAATCTATAACTTACTTTGGGCAGTGTGGCCATTTTAGAAGTGCTTTTGAAACAGTGAGACCCTAACACTTAAAACCTTAGCAGCACAATGTTATGTCGGATCAGAATATAATGAAATGCCTGAGGTTTGGATTTGTAGTGTGATATTTTTCTCATTTGAGTTTGTTTTGTCTCTTCATTTGTGGCAATTTTTTTCTTTTATAAAAGGGCATTTTAGGCTGGAAGTCCGTCTGTTGCAATGCTGCCCTCACGGGCACCCGTGCACCAATCTGGCCCTTAGCATGTGCTGATGGCGGGGGATTGGGTGTTGTGAGGGTTCATTTTATGTGCAGCATTACTGGGCCACAGGGTGCCCAAATATTGGGTCAGATGTCCTTCTGGGTGTTTCTGTGGGGGTGTTTTGGGATGAGATTAACATTCGTATCAATAGGTTGAGGAGAGCAGGTCCCTCTCCCAAACGCGAGTGAGCCTTATTGGATGGTGAAGGTTTGCATGGAACAAGGCTGGCCTCCCCGAGGCCAGAGCATCTCCTGCTTGGCGGCCTTTTTGCTGGGACGCTGGCTCTGCAGTTTTGGATTTGCCAGCTCCCATGATCATGTGAATCGGTTCCTACACAGATGTGTGTGTGTCTGTGTTTGTGCGTGTGCATGTGTGTGTGTCTAACAGGGTGCTCTGTTTCTCTGGAGAACCCTGGCCAACACAATTGCCTCACCATGACTAATGGAGCAGGTGAGTCTGCTCGGGCCCTAAGCTGGAGGAGGGCGGGGTGGGGGGGATGGAAGAATCTTGTGTTTGCCCGTCAGCCTCTGTGCACCTGCTGAGCTTGAGCGTGGATGACAGGAGTTTGCAATGGCCACCACAGTGTGCTCTGCAGTTGATGAGACCCCTGCTCTCCTCCTTCTCAATGAACTCTGCCCTGTCACTGGAGAGTGCCAACTTTGGGATCCTTCCGGCTGAGCTTGATAGTGGACGATAGGAGTTTGCAATGGCCACCACAGTGTGTTCTGCAGTTGATGAGACCCCTGCTGTCCTTCCTCTGAATGAGCCCTGCACTGTCACTGCAGGGTGCCAGCCTTGGGATCATTCAGGGGACACTCTGCACTTGAATGACCGTTTGCCTATTTTTAAACAATTGTGACAGAGGTGAGGTTTGTTTCCAAAAATTCAGGGTCAGAGGGCACTGACCAGTGGTTGGCACCTTGTGATGGGCACATGTAAGAACAGCAGTAACTTTCAGAAATAACTGATAATATATTCTGAAGGGGCTACTATTTAGATATAAAAACAAACTGTATTTTGTAATCACTGGGGTGAACTTGGGTGCATTTGGCTATGAATCCTATCAATGAATGCACGAAAAAGGTTTTTAAATGTTCCAAAGTTCCAGTTTCTTTACTTAAAATGGAGATATGAGGAACTACCTATCACGTAACACTTTTTACAATTAATATTTGATATAGACTTGCACTTGATATTGTTCCAGCATGGTCATTCCTCCCCTGGAAGAGCTGAGATCTATCCCATAAACATTACAGGAATCTAAAAAAATGACTTAGAACCCAGAACAGAGAGCCACTTTTTTTGATATTTGAGGGGTTGGAACATATTTAATGGAGGAGCCAACTTCGGCGCTAAACATAGGGAGACGATGATTGCGTGGTCAGTGCAGATGCAGAGGAAGCTGGGATAGTCACGGGCAGGTGCCCGGGGGCTGTGTGTCGATGAGTGTGAAGACAGGCTCTGTGTGAGTGCACGTACATGCAGGTGTGTGTATGTGCCCATGCCTGTGGACACACACACGCGCTTGCAGCCATGTATGTGTCTGCACGTGTTTCTGCATGTGTGTGTTTGCACCCGTGTGAGCTCCTTTGCCAACGCACTCATATTTGTTTCCATGTGCACGTGTGTGTATGTGCTTATGTGCATGTGTGCAGTGTGTTTAGCGCTAAAGAGAACTGTAAGGAAGTAAGTCTGGAGAGGTGGGGTGGATTTGCCACACAGAGACCAGGAAGCCTCCTTTCAAAGGTTGTCGGCTTCGCACTCGTAGGAGGGCAGTTTAAAGTAGAAGACGAAGAAATGACTTTACGCACACATCTAGAGGGAAGCACATTCACAGAGGTGCTTGGCAAAATGAAATGTTGATTAGGGTGAATTTAAAAAATGAAGCTGCCTTTTGGAAGTTATAGAGAAATTCACGCACCAGTTTTCACTCTTAAGCCTTAGAAAAATCCTCAGCAGATAAAATATAAATTAATATGTTTTGTGAATAGCCAGAGATGTACTACTGAGATTCTTTTATGTGATAAGCTTTCACAATCTGTTTCAAGTTTTCATTTTTAAAAATATTTAATCTGTGCTCAAAAATTAATTAATATCTTGAAAAATGACAAAGCTCCTCACTAAGTCATAATTGGGTTCAACAAGACAGCAGCTGAATAGATGAATAGCCTTTTTTTGCATGGTGATTACACTGAAAGCAGACATATGTTTTGCAATCTAATAATAACAAAAATTAAAATGACCTTTTATTGTTATTTCATACCAGTTTTTACAGTTGTGATTTCATTATACTTGTAGAATAGATATGTTATAAAAATCTTGCACTAAAAAATTACAGGCAATGCAATATATAGGTTGACTGCAAGAAAAGTTCCAATTAACAAGAGTAAAAAATATTTTCTATCATTCATATGTTTTTATTATGCTTCCTGATAATTATTTAACAGGAGCTACATATTGTCAGTGTAGAACTTAATCAAACATGCTGCTCTTGATAAATCATGATTAGTAACTACATGCTCATAGTTTTAAATTCAAAATCTATGATCAACAAGAGAATATGATTTTACCTTTTATGAAATTCTGAAACAACCTTTATGACCATTTTATATCTTTAAATGTCAGATATTAGGATATATTAATAGATAGGGCCCTTGACTGGCGGTCAGGTGCATAGTATGTAGCCCTGGTTCTGGTTGTCCTGTCAGCTTAGCCATTCTGAGTCTCTTTGATGTTACCTGTATAACGAGGGCGTTTGGGCCATGCATTCTCTTGAATCCCTTGCTATTGTGAAATGATCAGATTTTGCTTTGCATGTAGGATTCAAAGAATTTGTGAAGTGTTGTATAGTTTTAATGCAAATTGTATTTAAGTCCATGCAATATAGTTATTTAGGTACATATAATAGAGTTAGAAAGAAGATAATAAATATAAAAGAATTACTGTTGGTAACCACATTTCTTTTGTAGTACTTTTTTCTTGGAAGTCAGCAATTTTGAGAAGCAGCCAGGTGGTAGCATTTTAAGTCCAGCAGCCATTGCACTCTTGTCACAAAGGGGTTCACTGTCTATGCAAAAGAACTGCCTCAGGTGGTCAGCGTAAATCAAATCATATGCTTGGTTTAAAATGATATGAGAATGTCTATTGAGATAAGATAATTGAACAAATATTTTTTGACCACGTGTGTTAGTCCTGGGCCTGTTTTAGGCTCTATGAACATCTGTTTTAAGCATAAAACATACACATTCACTTCCCCGTGAACTCTCGGAAAAATCTGTAGTTTGATTTTTTGATCTGGTGCAGCTAAGGGGAGCTCGGGGGGAAGAGTACATGAGCCTAAACGGTGAGGGGAAGAACCTGTTATGAGCTGGAAATGAGATGCGGGCCTAGGGGAGCCAGGGATCCTTTCTGAATTGGCTGCTCTTTGGAGGGATTAGCGAAAGTGAGGATTAATTCGGGATTAGGTGTTGTCATGAGTTAAAGGCAGTTTAGCAATCAGGTATCCAATTTCTAGGTGGAAATAGCAAAGCAGTTCTAGGATGTTATTAGAAAGAAAGCAATTACCACTCAAAGAGGGGGTTGCGATGGCATTTCACAGCTGCTGCGTCACCCCAGAGGAAGCTCTTCCTCAAAACCTGCAGTTGGCTTTATCTACGTCTCCTCCAAGTCTGGCCAATGAGAGGGCTGTGCTTTTTCTTTTTTAAAACTAGACAAGTTTATACCATTTTGAAATGATTTAAAAAGACATCACTTAGTATGGTACCATGCTGATACGTAGTATACAATAAACTACTTTGGGGAACGACGCTAGGTAGGACTGACGGAGTGTTGAAATTTCAGAGAATTGGTTGGCTCAATCCAAGGGCAGACAGACTCTGCAGCCAGGAGCACGGTTTCTGCTGCAGCTATGGAACCCCCCTCGGGAATATGGCTTCATCTCATCAACACTAACTTCTTCATTCATGATGCCCGCAGTGATGCTAACACAGAAGTTAACGTGAGAATAAAATGAGGTAAGGTATGTGAAGTGTCCTATTCTCTCCATAACTGTACATGGTAGACACACAATGGCAAACTCATTGCTTATCCCTCCCCTTTGTTCTTTTTTTTTTTTTTTAAATCCTTCTGCCTTTATTTTCTGTTCATAGGATTCCAGATACAAATAGATATGGTGGAATGATGAAAGGGATTTATTTACTTAGTGGAATTAACTGTATCTAGTGAACATTGGTTCAAAATGGTTTATAATGTTCATAAAATTGTTATGATTTTTACTGCATCCAAATCCTAATCCTTTTCACAGCTTGTTCCCAACTGCGGCATGCACCTTGGGCATTTGTTTAATGGAGGTGCCATCGTTGTGGCTCGTATGTCTACACTGCAGGCTGTTTCAGCCTCCTGGGGATGCGGAACAGCCTTTGGCATGGCTGCAGTGGTATTCACTGTGAGCTCCACCCAGCCCAGCTCAGCTGCAACCATGGTCATTTAGCTCCCTCATCCTCGTCTTCCTTCAGCATGGCATGGCAGGTGGATTTGACCATCCTACGGTTAATGAGAGCAGCCGTGTAATAGAATCTGGGACTTAGGACCCTGTGTGGTGTCCTTTGACCAAGGAGCAACAAAAAGGGAGTGGCAGAAAAATCCCCTCCACTTCTCCCTCCAGGGTCTGTTCTGAGCTGGGCAGGCCAGCAAGACCTGTCTAAAGACAGCCTGCAAGGCTGAGCTGCCGGCCGTTACTACCGAGTGCTTCTACTTCTGTCATTTAGCATCTTGAATGTTTTTTCTTTTTCTTTCTTGACCCACTTCCTTTTTTCCCTTAGTCTTACTATGCTGGAATTGCACTTAACAAAAATCTCAGCACACACATTTTGCCTGATTCTCTGTTTTCTAGGGAGCAGAGGGAATTAAGAAAACTGCTGCTGTGGGTTACTTTACAAGGCAGATTTGTAGACTGGTCATTTGGAGGGAATGACCTCCACTGCCTCAGTTATTAGCACCCCGTGATGAGGAAAGCACGAGCCCTGTTCCAGGAAGAGGCACATGCCCAGAGCCTGGACTATCCTCAGTGGCAGAGAACACTTTCCGTTTACAGAGCACTGCCCACTGGCTGCTACCGGGTCCGCATCCGTAACTGGCCACACAGATGTGAATTAATTGTGATCTCAGTATTAGAGGCTCTTCATGTCCTACGGCTCCTGGAGGCAGCAATAATGCGTCATCATTTGATGATGATCATGACACATTTGGGAACCAGGCAGGAAGGAAAGAGTTGGTTACATCATCAGGTAGACCAGATGCCCATGCCACCTGCTTCTTTGGCCCTGATGCACTTCATCCTCAGCTCCTACCTGGCCTCATGGGAGGCTTCCAGCATCAGCCGGCAGAGCATAAAGGGACTTGAGTGACATTCACAGAATTCATACAATACGTTGCTCCTAGACCGATGTGGACTTTGGCTGCACTGCAGCCCCTCTCAGCATTGCCCCTAAAGAACACGGGTGCAGGGAAGCCCTCCAGGTGGCGAGTTGAGCAGTACATTTGGTTTTCCATTTTGTTTGTAGGGAGATACTCAGGAATATATGCCAACTCATGAAGGGTCATCAGTGCCTGAGCTGGAAACAGTGATCTCTGTCCTGGATGGCCACCTGCTTCTCCTACAGCTGCTCCCAGCCCTTGCACAGTGGACCAGTAAACACAGTGGCTCTTTTGACCACTCTGAAGGGATGAAGTCTGTGTGTGGCTCTGAAAGTATGGGCTCTCTCCTACCACTGCTGAATGTCCAACATTCCAGCAGCAGAGTCCAGTGCTGGGTTCTGGGTGCAGTACCTTGGGTGCCACACTATGCAACAGACCGCAGGCCCTGCCTGCCTGAGAGGGGCAGCTCTTATCCTTATCATGACTGATGCACGCTGCAGAGATGGGAATGCCATCCTGCTCAATAAACCTCAGGCAGGACAAGCTGCTGAGGCCAAACTGACTGATCAACAGACAGCACATCATACAAGTTTTCTCACCAAAAAGCTGTTAGGGAGGAATAGACAGGGGTGCGCCAGGGGGCTGAGGACAGGGAATGTGCTGCTCTTTCCCTGCAGCCACCGCCACCTCCTGTGGCAGCTGCAGAGTAGAGAGGTGATCACTCAGCCCGGGAGGGGCAAGCTTTTTCTTCAGCATCTTTTCCATGTTCTTGGAACTCATGCAATTCAAAGGAAAAATAATGAATATGAAAGACAATATGGAAACACCTTCAGGATAAGTGGCAGAGTGGAGAGCTCTCAGCAGAATGCAAAATGCCTCTTTTAGTAAGAAAACCATATGAGCTCACAGCCCCTTCATAGGCACTCAGTAAGATTTTCAGAAAATTTACAATGGCTGTGATTCTCTGCATATTTATTTAAAATATGATTAAATACATTTCCTACGCATTATTAAAAGGCTGCATTGAAACTGGGAAGGTAAATATATATACGTGTATATATACATATTTACATAAAATTATTATTATTATTATTTTGATATGGAGTCTTTCTCTGTTGCCCAGGCTGGAGTGCAGTGGCACAATCTCAGCTCACTGTAACCTCCACCTCCTGGGTTCAAGCAATTCTCCTGACTCAGCTTCGGGAGTAGCTGGGATTACAGGTGCGTGCCACCACGCCCGGCTAATTTTTGTATTTTTAGTAGAGATGGGGTTTCACCATGTTGGTCAGGCTGGTCTTGAACTCCTGACCTTGTGATCTACACACCTTGGCCTCCCAAAGTGCTGGGATTACAGGTGTGAGCCACCGCACCCCACCAGGTAAATATATTTTTACAAAAACATCAATTGAGATTTTTTTCATGTTGAGAAATAAATTCTATATAGTGAAAGGATTAGAAATTGCATGGTATTTAGCCCAGACAATGTCAAACTAACTTTGCATTCCTGGTATAAACATAATTTGATAATGATGTACTATATATATGAAGTATACATATGTATGATGTATATATAGATGATGTGTATATATGAATATATACACACATACATACATATTTGGTAATGAGGTATTATATATAATATTACATTCACACATAAAATATTAGAATAGTTTACTTTATCAATATTTTAGTATTTTGTTACCTTTTTAAATGAGTGATATTGGCTTGTAATGCTCCTTTATCTTTTAATCCTCAGTAACTGGATCATATGGAAAGTGCCTGTTTAATTATTTAAGAAACCACCAAATTGTTTTCCAAAGTGGCTGTATCATTTTGCATTTCCACACACAAAGAATGAGAGTTCCTGCCTCTCCACATCCTCAACAGCAACTGATTTTGCTGGTGCTTTGGAATTTGGTCATTCTGGGTGTCTAGAGGTACCTAATTGTGGTTTTCCTTTGTAATTTCCTAATGGCATATGCTATTGAACATCTTTTCATATGCTTACTTTCTTCCATACATCTTATTTGGTGAGGGATCTGTGTAGATATCTTGCTCAATTTTTTAATGATTTGTTTGTTTTCTTCTCGTAGAGTTTTAAGAGTCTCTATATATTTCAGATACCAGTTCTTTATCAAATATGTGTTTCACAAAGGTTTTCTACTAGTCTGGTTTGTCTTCTTATTCTCTTCATGATGTATTTTGTACATTGTGATTTTCAATGAAGTCCATCTAATCAATTATTTCTTTCATGGATTGTGCCTTTGGTGTCATATCTAAAAAGTTATAGCCAAATTCAAGTTTATCTAAATTTTCTGCTATGTTATCTTCTAGGAGTTTTATAATTTTGTATTTTACAGCTAGGTCTATGAATAATTTTGAGTTGATTTTTGTGAAGGGTGTAGGTATGTGTCTAGATTCTTTTCTTTTCTTTTCTTTTTTTTTTTTGTTTTTGCATGTCAATGTCCAGCTATTCTAGCATCGTTTGCTGAAAATGCTATCTTGTCCCCATTGTGTTGCCTTTATGCTTTGTCAAGACTATGTTTGTATAGGTCAACCAATACAACACAGTTTTGCGTATTGTAGCTTTATAGTAAGCTTTGATGTCAGGTAGTGTTAGTTCTCTAATTTTGTTTTATCTCTTTCAAAATTGTGCTGGCTCTCCTGGGGTTTTGGCCTCTTCATACAGATATTATATTCAGTTTGTTCATATTCACAAAATAACTTGCTAAAATTTTGATGGGAATTGTGTTGATCAAATGGGAGAAGAACTGACATCTTGATAATATTGAGGCTTTCTCTCTATGCACATGGAATATCTCTCGATTTATTTGATTTTTCTTTGATTCTTTTAATCAGGGTTTTCAAAATTTAGTTTTCCTCATACAGATACTGTACACAATTTTGCTACATTTGTACTTAAGTATTTCATTCTTGAAGTGCTGAGTAAGTGCTATTGTGTTTTTTGAATCAAATCCAATTGTTCATTGCTGGTATAAACAAAAGCGACTGGCTTTTGTATATTGACCTTAAATTCTCCAATAACTTATTAGTTCAATTTTTTGCTACAATTATTAGTTTAATTATTTGCTACAATTTTTGTTGATTCTTTGGGATTTCCCACATTAAAATTATGTAATCTGTGAACAAAGTTTTATTTTTTCTACCCAATTTGTGTGCATCTCCTTCCTTTTTTGTCTTATTGTATTAGCTAAGATTTCTAGTAAGTGTTGAAATAAAATAAGTGACAGGAGACAGCCTTGTCTTCTTCCTGATCTCAGTGAGACTGTTTTTTTATGATGAAAGGACAGAAGCCCATCTTCCTTCTTAATGATAGGAAGCCTTTATGAAACACTCAATATTTTAAATATTCAAAAAATAGTAAAAAATTGCATTTTAATTTAGAGGTTGGGAAAATAAAACCAACACATAGAATACGGTAAGCTAAATTTAGTAACATTAGTAATGTTGTAAAATAAGATACTGGTATTTTAACAAGAGCACCCTGGGGAGAAAAATTCCTATTTAACAATTAAATGTCAACTTACTTTCTAAAGATAGATACCTGCTTAGAGTTGGCTCAACTTCATCCCCAAATTAAAAAGTCACATAACGATATGTAATCACACTGCCAGCAAGCACCTCATAAACTGTTCACTTCAAATGCCTGTCTATACAAATGATAAAATCAAATGCAAATGCATTTTCTTAGAATAGTGATGCCTAAAACATTACATGTGGTTTTTTTTTTTGTTTGTTTTCTTTTTTTTGCAGAGAAGTAACCTTTGTCTGGTTGAAAGCATGTAGTGGACTGTAGTATTTAAGAAGCTGGCAGAAAGCAGAATGACACATTCAGATGATGTGAAGAATGTTCTCAAGAGGCAGTTCACATAAGTGTGGTAGAGTGGGGAAGCCGCCATGTGCTTGCAGTGACCTGGGGCTGGGAATAGGGCAAATTGATCCTCAGCATGACGATGAGGGAAGGAGAGCCCACCAGAATCTGGGGACAGGGAACTGTAGGGAGAGGCCTACCCACCCCCTTGCCCCCGTCGGATCCCTGACTGTTTGTTAAGGCACAGAGCCAGTCTTTGATACCCAAGAAAGCTAGACATAGCCATATCCAAACTTCATCCCTTCCTTTTTCCAATTATCTGCTTGTCTTTGCAGTGACCAAACCCAATTAGAAGCAGATGGCCAGAGAGCCTTGGATGCTGTTCACACAGGTGAGCTGCCCTGGACAGAAAACATAGTGAGGAAGGGTGGAGGGTGCGTCTGGTGCTACAATCCCAAGGTGACCAGCCCAGAGATCTTATAGACATGGTGTTTTAGATAAGGCAAAGGGTGGTGTCAGTTAGCTCCCATTGCTACAGGGTGGAAAGGGGTCATCTCTCCCAGTTACTTCCTGTTTATACTGCTTGATATTCACCTGTCAGACCTTCAGGACGACTGCCCAACATTCATCTCTCTATAGGGTGACACATTCATCGAAGGATATTTGCACTTTAGTTGGATTTAGCATTGGCTCCAGCTATGGTCACTGTTATGGAGCGCATGTTTGTGTTCCCTCAAAATGTGTATGTTGGAATCCAGCCTCCAGTGGATAGTATTAGGAGGTGGGCCTTTAGGAAGTGGTCAGGTCACAAGGGTGGAGTCTCATGAATGGGATTAGTTCCCTTATCCAATCCCTTATATGGGAGCTCATAAATGAGTGTCCTATATGAGAGAGCTCTCTTGCTCTTCTCCACCATGTGAGGACACAGTGAGAAACTGGCCATAGGCAGGCTGGAAGACAGCCCTCACCAGAACCTCACCTTACAGGCACCCTGATCTCAGAGTTCCACCCTTCTCAACTGTGAAAAATAAGTCTCCATTGTTTATAAGCCACTTAGTTATGATATTTGGTTAACCAAATACCATAAGCCAACAATAAGACCATAGCTGTGGTCAATTATGACAGAAATGACAGAAAATAGATGAAGCTTGGTGAGAGATGAGAGAGAAGACATGGCTCGCACAGATCTTGGGAAACAGTATCTTTGGAGGAGAAGCACGGAGAACCCATGGAAAGACATCATTTTCCTCATATTGCCCTGGTGTGGCCTTGCAGAGGGATCCTGGCTGAGCAATTCCAATCAGCAACACACAGGCAGTATCTGGGCTTCCCCTACACAAACATGCACACTCATGGGTGCAGGGGCGTCTGCTCACTCCTGCCCAGACCAGTCCCCACAACATGGAGTATGTGTGAAGTGAACCGGTTTTACGGAGTCCCAAACAATAAATGTTTCAACTGCAGTTCTGCCATATTTTTCCCTGTGATCTTGAGAAAAATCTCTTAATGTTGTTAGTTTTCAATATCCTCAACTTTGAAGTGTTGCACTAGGAATGACTCTTGCTGGCAGGTTCCCTGAAAAGCAGAGTCTGAAAATGGAGATCTGGTAGATTGTTATTAGGTCAATGAGAAGGGAGAGAAGAAAGCAGGAGAGAGAGCAGAGGGAGAAGGTGGGCTGCGGGAGCCGTGCCCCCAAACGGCCTTCAGACTTGTCCTGAATTGTGCCATTTGGGGGATCCTGTGGGGGGTGGTGGACAGCTGAGGACCCTCAGAGCACCCCCAGCTGGGGGAATAGGCCCTCCAGTCCTGTGGGAGAGGTCGGGGTGTGGCCCAGTGGCCACATCACCTACACAATGCAGCGGTGATGCAGATGGGATCTTACAGAATTATTAGTCACAATTAGCTTTTCAAATGATTCAAATAGAAAACACAGGCTTTCTTAGCCCTTTGACTGCTGAATCACCGAGAATCCCGTTTAATTATAAATAGGTTATTTTTCTTTCCATCAAAATCTCCTTGGGTCCACATCTTATTTGGATATAATTATGATCAAATATCAAATAGTGGATTCTGGGTGAGTTAGCCCAGTTTCTCAGCAACTAATTATCTCACTGGGTTGGCTTTTTTAGATATTTTCTCAGGCCTGGTTCTTTTTAATCCATTGAACATTCTCTTGGAACTGGCCAATATTATTTTCCCCAAGGTATGTCTCAACAGCTTTGAGTTGTTTTTTACTATTTGCATTCATTTTAAAACTGAAAATATGTTGAGAGTCTCAAGTACCCAATGTAGGTATCAGTAGAATCCAAGGCTAGCGTGAAAGCCATATCCCTTAGAAGGCAGTAGGAATGGGAGCTCATCTGACCTGAAGAAGAACAGGAGAGCAGAGAGAATAAAAAGATGCAGGTGGTAACACGGAAATAAAGACAAGAAAGAAGCAATGTGTGGAGGGAAACTTGCATGTGGACAGTGAGGACAGGCAAGTCAGAGAAAGCTTCTTGCCTGATTAAATAGGGGTAAGAGTTTCTCTAATGACATCTTGTTATTATAATTTTTTCACTCAGGATACAGTGTTAGGTTCCCAATGTAATTATAAGAGGCATCCTGGAAACCATTCCTAATGTTGGTTTTCTCCAATTGCACAGTGACATGAAACCCTACAGTATCAACATTGGATATATGTGGGTTTTATATCTACTGTGAATAAAATGAAAATATTTAGATTTGTATACTTGAAGTCAGAGATGAAGTGCTAAATCTTTATAATTAAACGTAATTAAATATTATTAATTATAATTAAACATTTCTCTATCATTCTTTTCTACCATACAATGAAAGTTTTTTGGTAAAGATAGATCACTTGAATTCCATTTTGTCTATGGTGAAAATAATTATTTAAATGTAGTTTGTTGTGAGATCAAGTTTTCTGTTTTGAGATAGAAAAATTGGTAATGCATATCTTAGCTAAAACATAGAAATGTGCTAAAGATTTCATGAAGTGATTTTTCAAACTTGGTTTCATTCTTGCTTGCTATATACACTCAAATATACTCATTGAATGTAAGCTTTGATAATTAGTAGTTTCTTATTTCTTATTACATTTACTGGTAAATGGTTTCTTTTCTCTACTTTTTTTGTTCTGTTATGACTTACCTTTGACATACCTCAATCTCTCCCCCATATTCACACACCTCTTTGTAATTTAGTTATCAATATTCTTATTACCGTTTTATTTTTATTTTTTAAAGTAATCCAGTAAAGCATAGCTTTTCCATTATTTTCAACAACACTGTGTTGTTTTAAATGTATGCATGCCAGAAAAAGTATGTGAATGAAAGATGTTTTAAAAATCAATCTGATTCTTTTAGCAGGAGAATATAATCCATTTACAATTTTTGTCAAAACATAAATACTCTAAATTACTTTAGCCACAATACATTACATTTTCTTTTCATTACACATTTTGTTGTTCTTTTGATTGTGTGCTAATACTGATTGATGAAATATTATTGATTTCCATATCATATTACTAATAGTACTAGTGGATTCCTCTAAAGTTTGTATATATGCATTTAAACCTTAATGACTTTATCAGCCTCCCTTGTATTGAATAATTTCTCTGGCTTGCACTGATATAAACATCCTTCCATATCTCTCCTACTTCTACTCTCACTGCCCACAGATAGCAGAAATTTATTTTTAATGACCTTTAATTTTAGGTTTATTTTAATTTTAGTTTTGTGTTTTGAAATTAAGTATCTCTAACTTTGCATTAAGTATCTTTAATTTTAAGACTGTTTTAAACCACTGCATTGACATTTATATACCACATCACCAACACTTACTTTGACCTGTATTCTGAATTGTATTGGAGTTAATGCTTATCGCAGTTCCTTGTACTTTATATTTTCTTCTTTTCAGTGATTCTTGTTCTTGTGCTTTGCTTATTTGTTTAACTAACATATGAACCTAAGCATGTATTGTAGCTATGGTGTCAGAATCCTATTACTATATTATAGAGCTTCAGCTTCATATACATTTAGTAAACTTGATTCTCATTTTTTGAGGTGCTGATTTTTCTGTTACCTAATTACATTCATAGGTCCATGTCTAAGGTAGCTGGTAAGTATCCAGTAAGTTAACAATTGAGGCCATTATATGGTTTTCCTATGGGCCCTCTCTGGTGCCTTTCAGTTCCATGGAGGGCCCCTCTCACCTGCAATGCACAATTAGGTGTTTTCCCAGGAAACAGAGATTTTCTATCCGAAGTATAGGCAGGGAATCAACCACAGCGGAGAGCCCCTTGGGGAGAGGCGAGGCTTTGCGGCTCTCCTCCGTTCCCCTCAGAGTTCTCTGCAGAAGCGTTCACACGGGACACAGGAGGTGGCAGGTGCCAGGGCACTCAGGATGTGGCCAGCTTGAGGGCAGCTTTCCCAAGCACAGCCCTGGGGAAGCCCCACCCCTCAGACCCGCTCCCCGGTGCCTGGTCTCAGCTCCTTCTATCTTCTGGTGGTCAGTTTGGGGGAAGGCAGGTGTGCAGATTTCAACGGGAAGGGGCCGAAGTTGTGGGAGCAACATGGGGAAACACATCCTGTTATAAGCAAGCTGTTTCTGGTTAGATATTGTTTTCATTATTTTTATTATATTTTTACTTTGTCTGTTGATGCCCCCAAATTGATTCTCTCAGGAAAGGGCCTACCATGGCAGAGGCTGCATAGAGCAAGACCAACTAAGCGAAGTCCACTGAGGAGTGACTTGGTCACTGCTTCGCTAGGACTCATTCCTTGTGAGCCAGCTTGCTCCACGGCTGTCCTCGTTCTCAGCTCTGAGGTTTGGGGACATTGTGACATTCCACCAGGGAGTGTGTTTCTCTGTTGGGCGTCTCCTTGACCCTCCCCATCGCTGACTCTTCACCAGTTATGGCAGTTTTCCCCACTGTCTTTTATATCTACCGAAAACTCCTTACCTTCTTTGATATCACACTTACTCCTTCAGACCAGAATTAATAGACATTTCTTTTAGTGAGTGGCACTAGGTGAGTGACATTGCTTTTCTTTAAGATGGGAAATGTGAAAAAGTGATGCGTTAAACAGGGTGGAAGTATGTTTGTGTACGTGTGTGTGTTACTTCGCTCAGTTTTGGTGTTATTATTTATATGCTTACAGGGAATGAAGTTATCCAATAGGTAATCTAGAATTTAGAGAAAATAAGGCTTTGGGAACAATCAGTATGAGGGGATGAGATCCTTCAGGGTAGCATATGATATACTGTTAGACAGATTAACTTAGCATTTCCTGATGTCAAACACACCTGCAAGTGCTTTATAAGCATTCACCAATTTAATCGTCATATTTACTATGAGATAGATACCATTAGCATATATGTTTTAAAGAAGAGGAAACTGTGGCCCAGAGAGGTTATGTGTCTGTTATGTAAGATCCCACTGGGCAGAGACAGGAAGATTCAAATGACAGAATCCTTGAAAACGTCAGTATGTAGAGACGGAAGAGAACATGAAGTCTGTAATGAGACTAAGGAGGTGCTGGAGGGCCAGGGACAGGCCAGAGAGGAGAGTTGGTGTTGGAGAGGCCAAGGGAGGAGGTTCTGGAGGAGAGGCCTGTGGCTTCCAGGGCACTTCCAGGGTGGTCACTGGAAAGCGGGAGGACCTGCAGGGGCAGTGTCCATGTTGTCACTGGGAACCTTCTCCAGGGAAGGTTCACAGTGGAAGGTCCCATTGAGGAGGGAGTGAGGGAAGGGTGAGGAGACGGCCATGGGTCTGCTCAGATGTGAGGGAGGAAGAGGATGGTGCAGCTACTATAATGCCACCCCATACGGAGACACAGGTGTGTGTGTGTGTGTGTCTGAGATGTGAGGGAGGAAGAGGATGGTGCAGCTACTATAATGCCACCCCATACGGAGACACAGGTGTGTGTGTGTGTGTCTGAGATGTGAGGGAGGAAGAGGATGGTGCAGCTACTATAATGCCACCCCATACGGAGACACAGGTGTGCGTGTGTGTGTCTGAGATGTGAGGGAGGAAGAGGACGGTGCAGCTACTATAATGCCACCCCATACGGAGACACAGGTGTGTGTGTGTGTGTCTGAGATGTGAGGGAGGAAGAGGATGGTGCAGCTACTATAATGCCACCCCATACGGAGACACAGGTGTGTGTGTGTGTGTGTGTCTGAGATGACCTGAGAGAGACCAAGTACGTGAACAAGAAGGAGAGGAGAAGCCAAACACCTGAGACCCCAATGCCACACACCTAGGAGCACACGGAATTAGGAATCAAGACCCCGGGAAGACTGGCCTTCCAAAAGAAGAATGGAGGCAGACACATGTTGAGCCGTGGGGACTGTGAGTGAACAATCAAGAAAAGACAAATTCTCTGACGAATCGCTTCCAGGACAGCAAGCAACGGCCCTGTCTTGATTCTGCGGCATTCACCTGGTGACACAAGGCCAGGCCACCAGACTTATGCATGTCAGCTGTGGTCCTTGCCAGAGGTCCCTACATATTAAAACAGAACGATTCCACATCACTCTTACAGCTCACTCATCTGGTAGAAGTAAAGTAAAATTCCCCTTAAACACCTTGCCTTATAAAATGTCATTTTATCAGCTTCCTGTCTAATGTGCATATTTTGCATTATTTCTCTCTCAAAGACATTTGGTCCTAGCATGCATGCAGAACACACACATGCATGTACACATCAGCACACACATGCACAAGCATGCATGCACACACACATACACATGCCTGCAGAACACACACATGCATGTACACATCTGCACACACATGCATAAGCATGCATGCATACACATGTATGTACACATCTACATACACATACACACACATCTGTAAATACACATGCCTGCAGAATACACACACGTACACATCCGCACACACATACACACACATGCATGTACACATCTGCACACACATACACATAGATGCAGAACAAATGCATGCATGTACACATCCACACATACATATACAGAACACACACATGTGTGTATACATCTACACACACATACATATGCATGCACGCACACACTTGCATGTACATGCACACACACACTCTCCCTCCTCCATGAACCCAAATCTCAGTTTTCTTCTCTGAGTTTCTGTAAGGAGCTCTGCTACACACCACTTACAACCTCAGAGCCCCAGTGAGGGTTTGTCTGTGGCAGTCCCAGGACTGCAATGCATTATTTGATTTTGTGTGAAAGCCATCCTTTGTATCTCATTTTTTGTCACAGGGTATCAAGTGCAGATCTTTGTACAGAACAGATTCTCAGTAATTGCTTATTGATTCATTGGTAGTAACTGATATTTTAGGAATTCTTTGCGTAGAATGATCACAGCCATGGTGCCCAGCAGAAGAAAAGGACAGTGTCATGCCCTCTGATTTACAATGACAGGTGTGGGTTTACACTTTTTCTCAGCATTCTTATATAATGCAATAAGATGCTTGCTAAAAATACAAGTTTTAGAGATTTTTTTTCCACTTGGATTGGAACCGAATTGCTTTGCACATTCTTTGGAGAAAAAGCTGAAATCCTGTTAGCTAGCATTATGAGTCAGCTGTCTATATTTATGACAAAGATTTTATAGAGTGCATATATTTATTTGCAAATGGTACCTGAGGGAAAAAGGAAATCAAGATGAATGTCTTATGGTGTCTCTATATGACACCTGAGCAACTGTTGTAATTCTACCAATTCTGTAAAAAAATCATGCAAGCATGCAAGTTAATTGTTTGGAATTTTGAGTGCAGAAAATCTGAGAGAATGAGTTTTTCAATTTCATTATTTTTGTTTAGTGTAGACACCATTCAAATACTAAGAATCATATTGCATTTTAAAATGAGATCTATGAAGAATGTTTGCCATTATTTACTGGCCTCTCTCTTGCACACTTATTTGTGATGGGGAGGCTACATTGTTTTGCCCCACAACAGGCATCAGAATACATTTTGGGGAGATAAAATCATGACTGGAAAAATATTTTCTACCCTTAGCACTGATCAAGGTAAGACCCTGGGTATTGGTGACTCCCAAGGTGTCAGAGAAAAGGGATGTTTCTTTGCATGATAAAACAAGTTGCATGTACTTATTGCTGTACAGAGAGGAAGAAGAAAAGAGCAACAGAGAGAGATGGTGAGGTTAGATAAGGAGGCCAGAAGGAACATGGGTGATGTCACATTGCTCAAGAGAAGGCAAAGAGAGAGAATGCCAAGTGGGCAACATGAGCTTTGGAAAGCAGGGATGTCTGGAAGGGAAGGGTGACTGCAAGGCAGGTGCTTCTGGGCTCTGTGATCAGTGCCAGGCATAGTTGGGCTACCGGGAACCTTGGAGAGAGTGTTCGGAAGGAGGGACTGGGGCTGTGGGGCTTTAAGGCTTGGTTTCCACTGCCCTAGAAAGGAGTAATCGGGAGGCCATTATTTAGATGGCAAGGGACAAGCTAAATTCAAGTTGTGTTTTTTGTGGCAACTGAAAGGACCACAGAATAATAAAGATATTACCAGTGCTTAAATATGTGACAAGGCTGGGCGTGGTGGCTCTTGCCTGTAATCTCAACACTTTGGGAGGCTGAAGAGGGTGGATTGCCTGAGCCCGGGACCAGCCTGCGCAACTTGGTGAAACCTGTCTCTACACAAAAACACAAATATTAGCCGGGTGAGGCGGTGTGCACCTGTGGTCCCAGCTACTCAGGAGGCTTGAGGTGGGAGGATCACTTGAGCACCAGGAAGCCAAGACTGTGGTGAGCTGTGATCGTGCTATTTATTTATACCTATTTATTACTCAGCCACCAACATCCATTTACTTAGCTGTTCAATTCCAGGGGAATGGATAGCAGTACCAGAATTTTTAACCTGCACACCCACAATAAACACATTATTAACTAGAACATCTTCCTACATAGAGAAATGTCATTTGTGAACAAAAGCAGTACTCCAGCCTGGGTAACAGAGTGAGACCCTGCCTCAAAAATAATAAATAAATAAGCAACAAGTCTGGTCATGAGGCTTCAATCACCCCAAGGAACACTTCCTATAGAAAGTACACTGTGGCACGCTCCCTGAAGCATGCCAACCCTTAGAATAGACCCACACACATGGAGGAGGGGAGGCAGCAGAGGGGATGAGAGGTAAAGAGGGAAGGAGGGTGGCAGGCACATGGGAGAGGGGCCCCTTTAGCGAGGGAGAGTGGACATGTCTTTGCAGAAGGTGAAAACAAAAGAAGGAAAGGGCTTCGATTTCTGGTGAGAAGGGATATAGACAAAGCAATGAGAGTTCTGCAACAGACACACCACAGAGATGCAATACACAACGATATTGACCAACTCTCAGCAAGCACCCTGTCATCAGAGGTCCTTCAGGCTACATGCCCAGGACCCTGCAGCGGGGCCTTCTCTCCACGCCCCCATCACTCCACCACTTTGTTCCATTCACATTTCTCCTCATTTTTTTTATTTTTTATTTTTGAGACGGAGTCTTGCTGTGTCACCCAGGCTGGAGTGCAACGGCACGATCTCGGCTCACTGCAACCTCCACCTCCTTGGTTCAAGCGATTCTCCCACCTCAGCCTTCTGGGTTCAGCTGGGATTACAGGCGCACTCTACCACACCCAGCTAATTTTTGTATTTTTAATAGAGGCAGGGTTTCACCATGTTGGCCAGGCTGGTCTCGAACTCCTGACCGCAGGTGATCCGCCTGCCTCAGTTGCCCGAAGTTTTGGTTGGGATTACACGTGTGAGCCACTGCGCCTGGCCATTCTCCTCAGTTCTTGAGGTCCTGCTATATGGGCTTCCAGACCTGTGAGCCCGTTGTCAGCACCGTCTCCCATTCTCAGCCCTGCCTTTCACCTCTTCCCTCAGGCTGACCAGAGCCTCAGGGCACAGCGGCCTTGGCTGCCCGCCTCTCCAGGGGCTGTTTTCCTCTCCCCCATCCTCCTGCCCAGCATCCCATGTGCCAGGTGGGCCCACCTTGATCCTCACTGGCGCATCCAGGCCGGGCCACTTCTGTTTCCTTTAAAACCGCAGGCCCTCATGGCACCAGGCTGTACCTGTTCGTTCCTGCACCACCTCGCCTGTGAATTTGGAGGTCACAGTTCAGCCTGTAAAGGACCTGCTTCTGTAGCCACAGAAACAACAGGGCTCCACCGTGATGCCTTTGAACGGGCCACGACTTCAGCCCAGCCTGGCCCTGGTGAGGTAGCTGACACCCCCACAGCCTCATGGGCTTGTTTATGATGAATCTGAACCAATGGGTCTTTCCTTCATTTCTTCAGTGTGTATCCAGGCTGTCAACTCTAGAATGTAGGAACCTCTGGAGGAAGAGGGAGTCCTAGCTTCTTTAACCATCCTTAGGAGCACGGTTCGTGTCGGGTAGGCAAAAAGACAGCAAGACAGATATTTTTGAAATTATGTCAATATGTAACAAGCAGGATTTTCTTGTAAAAATCATATCTTAGGTTAGTCTACAAATGATAAATATTGGTAAAAATAAGCGTTTTCTTGCAACAAACCTCAAACGGGACGGAATCACCAAATGTAATATTCAATATAAATTATCGTTTTTAGGAGATCAAATATCTTCCATTTTTAATATAAAACCAAGGCCAAGGTGCATAAGGAAATTAATTTATGGAGGAGCAGGTGACACACAGGGAGCATCTATATCTTGGAAAATGTATCTGTGAGCAGAAACATATGGACTTCTCTCTACAATCATCAGCTTCCTCAGGCCCCATTAGGCATGGATTTTTCTAAATAGTTACTCTTAAACTTCATAAACAAGCCAAACAACATATGGAATAATGAAGATCTGCATAAAATATGAGGTGGGAAATATCCCATCATTTCTTCCCAAGTGTGTTGAGCACTTCGTTTTTGGAAACAACAAACCCAAGAGCCAAAAAAAAAAAAAAAAAAAAAAAGGATGACTTCAATTTGTGATTAAATTTTAAAAAGGGCCTCTCCTCTTCCAACATTCACCTGTTTTCCTGAGGCTTTCTGTTACTCTGCTTCAGTGTGGTACAGCATTTTCTCTTTGGAGTTTAGGGAACTCTTTCTGGCCCCAGACAGATCTACTTTTCGGTAGGATGTCATCACAGAATCCCTGTCATGGACTTGCTACTTCCACCTGAACAAACACACTGACTTGAAGGGGTCGGAGACATTCACCATCATGGGCAGATGCCACAGCCAGTCCCTTTCCATCGCTTTCCTCTGGGTTCAGTGACAACAAGTAGGTTGTTCTCACACTCTTGCAAGGGACGTTAAAACACACGTGTTTGTGATGAAGTGTGTTTTGGCTGCACTGGGAGAACCAGGGCACAGCGCAGCTCTTGGCATCTTTACCTGGACCCCATCCATGTGTAGGGAAGTCGGGAATGCAGTGATTTTACACCCCTCTGCCTGCTCTGCCTCTGGGGAGAGACTGGAAGGTGTGGTGACAGGTCGGGTAGAGACGCTGAGAATGAAAATCTCGCACGTGTGGACGTTTATCCTATCGTGTCCGTCCACTCAATTCTTCCTCCTTCATCCCTCCTTCGTCACACTCATCAAGGGTCACCATGTGTCAAGCTCTGTCTGCCACAAGATGACAAAGGCGAGTTAAGCCAGAAACAGTCCAGGCCATCAAGACCCCCGGAGAGGGAACTGGGCCTACCCCAGCCCTGCTGCAGCACCCGGGACTCAGTCTCCCCGTGGCTGCAGGTGTGGCTTCCAACACTCAGTGTTCCGGCTTCAGAGAGCGGCTGCGTTTCTACATCACGTGAATTCACAGGAAAGCACTCTGGAACCTACAAACCCTGAAAAATATCAGTTCTTACTTTCTGTGATACATCCTTACCTTGATTCACAATCAGAGACCAGAAGAAACCTGCGGGGCCCTGACTTGCCCTGCCCTCCACGCAGAGCTGAAGTGAGCCCTGAGAGGTACAGCCTGTCACCTCCACTGTCGTTAGAATAGTCTGCCCAGCCTCTGCCTGCAAATGTTGTTTTGGAGAGTGGGATTCTCATATGGTTTACTGCCTCTGAGGGTTCTTCCTGGTCTCAGTGGTGTTTCAAGGATTAACTGTTGATGATGGACTCCTTACAAATGCAGCACAGAGACGCAGGTAGGTGATGACATAGCGTGACGTGGCCACCCGTCCTTTTCAGAACTTGCCTTTTCTCTCCATGCTACTTGCCTCATTTGGACACATATGAGATTGTTGCTGATGGGATATTTCCAGGGTCTAAGCAATCCTCTCTGACAGATAAGATATCTGCCACCAAAGCCAGATCTTGGCAGCAGTTAAGACAGAGTTCTGGCCGGGCGCGGTGGCTCACGCCTGTAATGCCAGCACTTTGGGAGGCTGAGGCAGGCGGATCATGAGGTCAGGAATTCGAGACCATCCTGGCCAATATGGTGAAACCCCATCTCTACTAAAAATAGAAAATCAGCCAGGCGCAGTGGCGGGCGCCTGTAGTCCCAGCTACTTGGGAGGCTGAGGCAGGAGAATCGCTTGAACCCAGGAGGCGGAGGTTGCAGTGAGTCAAGATGGTGCCACTGCACTCCCGCATGGGCAGTAGAGTGAGACCCTGTCTCAATAATAATAATAATAATAATAATAATTCTAACCTTCACCCCAGGCAGAGATGACGACAGTGTCAGATGGCAGTGTCAGATGGCAATGTCAGATGGCAGGGGCTCAGGAGAATGAACCTCCTCTATCACAGACCTCAGTGTGAGAGAGAGGAAGAAAATCTATCCTGCAGGTGCAGGTCTGGGTCCCACAGGTAACAGTGCCAGGGCGGGGCCTTCATGGGGGAGGACCCAGGCCTGCACATGTGCCACCCTTGGACTCTCTCTCAGCTCGTGCCACCCACCATGAGCTTTCCCGAGCAGAGCACGGCCCAGGCTGGCAGCGGGGGCTCTCCAGGCTGGGTACACCCAATGCCAACTCAGATGGAAACCTGGGCGCGTTGGCCGGGAGCCCTGTGCCTGGACAGGTAGGTGGGCTGGGCTGGGGGCCCCTGTAGCCAGAGAGAGGTGGTAAGCTTGGAGGTCTCCAGCAACAGAGATGGTACAGGGAACATGGCTGGGTCTCTGTCTCCTCCCAGCTGCCTCTGCAGATAACAGGTGCAGCAGTGACCCCCTCTGCGGCAGATGAGGGACGTGGCAGTGACCCCCTCTGGGAAGGAAGTCTGCCCTTGCTAAGGTTACCCCAGAAGCTGGGAGCAGAGGCAAAGGGAGAAGGAAAGATGGCAAGGAAAAGAAGAAACACACAAAAAGATGACCGGAAAGGCATCAGAGAGCCACGAAAGCGAACATTTTGAACTCCCAGATATGGTGGTTCTTGGTAAAAGGGACCAAAAGGGACCCTCAGCAGCACACACCGGGCCACTGCAACCACAGCCAGGCACAGAGGAAAACTGTGCAAAGAGTTTGAGAGTGAAGAGCTCACCTCTCTTCTTACCCAGCAATTCTACTCCTGGGAATGCATATCATGAAAACAAACGAGCCGGTGCGTTATTTCTACTCATTAAAATTAGAGTTCGCTGTGTAGGAGGTGATGTGAAAAATTTCCAATCACGTTTGAAACATGAACGGTGCGCACCGCGCCTCGTGTCCGCCTGGCGTGTGTTGCTCCGTGGTGCTCCGGGGGAAGGTTTGGGGGACCCATGCGGCAGCGTTGGCGTCTAGGCACACAGGTCAGAGCAGCTAGGGGAGGCCAGGGCGACGGGAGCGCGCGCCAGAGAACCGTGAGTGTCCTGGGAACCCAACGGTGCCACTGCCCATCCCTGTGTGGGCGCCAGGCATGAGCCACAGAATTGCCTCCAACACAGCAGAGCTGGGATATTTATAGATGAATATTTTCTTTCTTATAACTTGTTTAGGTTGTTTTACTTTATCCTATTACTAGTGTAGTCCCCCTTATGCACAGTTACTCAGTTATCCGTGGGCTACCCAAACTATGGCACAATAAAATATTTTGAAAGAGAGAGACCACATTCACATAACTTTTATTGGAGTATATTGTTATCATTGATCTATTTTTATTAGTTATCGTTGTTAATCTCTTACTGTGCTTAATTTATAGACAACACTTTATCATAGATATGTAAGTACAGGGAGACATAATACATACAAGTCTTGGTGCAAGCTGCCATCTCAGGCATCTACAGGGGTCTTGGAACGAATCTTCCATGGATACAAGGGACATACCGTTTTATTATTATTATTGCTACTTTTTACAGTAAGCATATGTTATTATATAATTACAAAAAATCAGATAAAATGAAGCCCCGTTCACTGTGGACAAAGAATGAGTATTCATAATAAGAAAAGATTTGTAATTTTCTGGAGAGGAAGAACGATGGCTTCTCTCTCACCGTATTCTCTATGTCTTGCACAGGAATTTTACAGATGCTTTTAGTAAATATTTTTTAAAAATCAATTCCAATGTTCAAGGACACTAAATATCATTCACTATAAGAAACTTTTTCTTATGAAGTATGAGTAAAATAAATAGATGCCAACGGAAAAGAAAAAGCATCAGGTTTATAGAAAATAAGTAAAGAAAATTTTTAAAAGATTCAGCATTAAACGTTTTTTGGAATATGATAAAGCAATAAGTATTCTCAAAATTCCAATTTTTAATAGAAATAAATATTTTCTCATTAAGACAATTTGAACTTATTGCTGTTTCTATATGTAATCCCTTAAAATAACTCCTGCAGATATTTCAGAGTTACTAGCGGGGACAGTGTGGAGCTTCCACATGGCTTCACTTCTGCGTGAGGTGCCAGCCTGGGCGAGGTGCTGCCGCGTGCAGGCCTGTGTGCGCATGCGCGTGTCCCCATGTTCCCCCAAACCCAGCGGTGTTGAGATGTGCGCATGCGCGTGCCCCCATGTTTCCCTAAACCCCGCGGTGTTGAGAATCACCTAGCAACACGGTGCGGAGACAGGATCAGGCCGCGAAGCAGGGTGTATGCCAGCCGTGAGGGGAGAATGCTGCAGAGCTGAGTGTCACAACTGCTGGTTTCCTTTTAAGAAAACGTATAAGATTAATTTCCAAGCTATGTCTGCTGTGTAAGGTGCAGAGCTGAAACCAGCCAACATCGTGTCTCATGTTCTAGGCGTGGGTGACACAATTTCACACCCCATTTAGTCATCCCAGATCTCCCTTGACAGACAGCAGCCGTCAAGAGACGGTTCTCACGCCAGCAAGGAGTGGAGGGTGCTGTCGGAAACCACTCCCAGAATCTCTGTGGTGTGTGTATGTGTGTGTGTGTGTGTGTGTGCGTGTGATGTGAATATTCAGATGTGTATGTTGGTAATATATATACACACATGTGCATATTAGTCTGGATGTTCCAGGGAGTAGAAGCAATAAGAGATTTTTGATAGGAACCGGACTCACAGTGTGCTGGAGGCTGAGCTGGAGACCCAGGACAGCCACTGTGGTGAGGTCCAGTCTGAGGCCAAGGTAGATCTGTGTCCCAGCTCAGACACTCAGGCAGAGAGAGAGTTTTTTTTTTTTTTTTTTTTTTTTTTTTTTTTTGAGACGGAGTCTCGCTCTGTCGCCCAGGCTGGAGTGCAGTGGCGCGATCTCGGCTCACTGCAAGCTCCGCCTCCCGGGTTTAGCCATTCTCCTGCCTCAGCCTCCCGAGTAGCTGGGACTACAGGCGCCCGCCACCACGCCCGGCTAATTTTTTGTATTTTTAGTAGAGACAAGGTTTCCCCGTGTTAGCCAGGATGGTCTCGATCTCCTGACCTTGTGATCTGCCCGCCTCGGCCTCCCAAAGTGCTGGGATTACAGGTGTGAGCCACCGCGCCCGGCCGAGAGAGAGTTCTTTATCACGCAGACTTTCTCTACTCTGCAGGACTTCAGTGGATTGGTGAGAACCATCCACCTTAGCGAGGGCAATTTATTTTCTCACTCTGCTGATTCCAGTGTTAATCATGTCCAGAAGCCTTCACGCAGACACCCCCAAAATCATGGTTAAATATCTGGGCATGCCACGCCCAGCCAAGTTGAAACATAAAATGAATTAATGCTATTAGTTATATTTCTATATAGAAGGGGAGGGACAGAGAGAGAAACACACAGAGAGGGATAGAGAGGCAGAGAAGAGAGGAGAAAAAAGAGGGAGGCTTTGAAAACGGCCCTTAAATTCTAGACACAGCTCTATTATTGACAAGAAGTGTAAAAGTTGGAAGTCTGTTAACCTTTCAAAGTTAGAGTTCTAAATTACAAAAATACTCCAAAACAAATATTTAGATTGTCATGGAAATTAGAGTGGTAAAAGAAATTGCAACCAAACTATATCCACAATAAAGCCACAAAACAGTCTCTAAGTTATGAGACAACCTTGAGGAAATATGCAGACAGTCATTTTTCTCTGGTTTGCATGACTTACAATCTGATTTTCAGCTTTTGTCTTTAATACTAGTATAATCATAATCATTCTGCATGTTAGAAAGGTATTATCACTTTCACTACATAGAAAATTAAGAATAGGCCCAGTGAATTGTCTAACTTGTCATTTAAAAAAGAGTTTATAACATTTATTAAAACACCGTATTTTCATCTCAGTATTCCATTTTTGATGACATATTTATTGAAATACCACTGTGCACACACATTTAAATTTATAGATTGAAAATTTCTTGCTATATTCTATAGGAGGAAGTCTAAGAAATTATAAAATTATATGTATCTATACATACATACAGAGATGTGTGCAGATACAATGTAATAAATCTAACATTTAAAAAACACATTTCCTTCTTTACTTCAAGTGTAAAAAATTCAAGATCAAGGGAAAAATAATACTTTAATTTGTATTCAGAGACATTGAATGTGTCCAAAACAGATAAGACCTATATATTCAACCATGGACCTATGCATATCTAATTTTGTAAATAAATATTTGGAATGATTCTTTAAGTTACAATCCAATTTGTCCTTTAAAAATGGATTACTATGGGTTCATTAAATGTGTTCATTAGGCCTCCATAAGGGGCCTGCTGTGTTAGGAGACAAAACAGGAACAATTTGGAACAAATTTGTTATGTAAATTAAGGCATGCAGACGAAAAGGAAAGCTTGAGATTCCATGGGCTTTATTTCCTTTAAAGAATGAAATGGCTCAGTCCACTTGGGTAATGGTTCCACAAGCTCCTGTCCGGTGGGTTACTGACATAGTGTGAGACCATGTCAGTGCCTAGCAAAGCCACACATTTCTGTGCTTTCTGCTTTGGAATTTTCTGGAAAGGGATATGCTAATCATTTGAACCACATGAAATTAAAGTGCATGCACATCAAAAAGCATCGATTATTTGTGGTTTTCCAGGATTCAACATAAATAGCCATTTAACAATCAGGGTCAGTGAATTTAAGGGAATATGAGAAAATACATAGATATTCACTCAGACTAAAAATCGGGATTTGGGTTTCATAATCGCTTTACTTGAAAGCAGATAACTTTGGAGGTCAGGTAGGTAATATTTGTCCTTAGAGGTTTTAAGCAATAAATTGAGCATTATTCAAATAGATGTAAATGAATGCATGAGAATAAAGATATGAACACAAATTTGGTACCACAAAGCAAAAGGTGATGACTAGATGTGCAGATTCATTAAATTATTGAATTAGCAATCACTCTCACATAATTCTCATCTGATTTCCAAATTATCTGCTTACCCTTCCTTCATTATTTTATGTTTTATTCCCATTGAGTTGTCGACTCTTTTAGTCTGTATGTCTCAAATTTGATTTATACTAACCACATGGTTTCTAAGCCCTGTCATTTTAAATGGCTTATTCCTAATCCTTTCCTTGATTATATGTCAGACAAATCCTACCCAACTTTCATGCCCAAGACTCAAGCCCCACTTCTCCTAGAATCTTCCCTGCTCCAAATATCATATTTCTCAATGTATCAGACACTTCAGAATAATTATTTTCTGTACCCATAATTTATAGCATAAATATTATATTTTATTGAACATCAATTTCTCATGTGTACTTCTCCAGTTAGATTATTCATTCCTTAAACTTTGGGGTCAGCCTTAACCGTTATATCCCCCAGGACATATAAGACCTTAATGATTAATTAGTTGTCATAACTTACTGGTTGTGAACTACGCCTAACAGCTACCTATAGAACATTCCACCCAACAAGAGAGAATAGGTATTATCCTCCAGTGCCTATAGGGCATTCTTCCGCATGGACCATAATATACCATAAAAAAGCCTTAATACATTTAAAAAATTAAAAAAATTTAAACATAATGTTTTCTAACCATAAAGGGGTTAAATTAGAAATCAACAATGGAAAGGAATTTGAAAAATTCACATGTATGTGGATATTAACACAGTCCTAAATAACCAACGAGTAAAAAAGAAATTGCAAGATACATTTTAAAATACTTCAAAATTAATGAAATGAGGACACAACATGACAGAGATTATGGGGGTGCAGCTAATGCAGTGTTTAAAGACAAATTTATGGCTGAAAATATACACATAAAGAAAGCCAGATAGATCTTTAATTGACAATCTAATCTCAAAATACGATATCAGGTCAATGAAGAGCAAGCTAAACACAAAGCCGTGAGAAGAAAGGAAATAACAAATATTAGAGCAGAATTAAATGAAATGCAGAATAGAAAAGCCACAGAGAAAGCCAATGAAACTAAAAGTTGGTTATTTGAAAAGAAGAAAATTGACAGATTTTTAGCTAGACTGACCAAAGAGAAAGGGAAGAAGAACCATTTCCCAAAGGAACAAAGAAAGAGGGACTTACTGACAATACTATAGAAATAAAAATTATTGTAAGATAATTGTTATAAGGTATATAATTGGCTAGCTGTGTAAAAGTTGGAAGTTCATTGACCCATGAACAACTGCATGACAGCAAATTAGATGGCTTAGATGAGACGGACAAGCATCCAGCAAGACAGAAACTATTCAAACTACTCAAGAGGAAATAGAAAATCTGAATGGGCCTAGTAAACAGATTAAAGGATTAAATGAGCAATCCCAAAACTACCCACCAAAACAAACCAAGACCTAGTTAGCTTTATTGTTACATTTTACCAAACACTTAATAATCAACATCAATTTTTCTCAAACACTTAAGAAAATAGAAAACACTTTGCAACTTATTCCATGAGGCTGATATTACTCTAATAGCAAAATCCAGACAAAAGACATGGTGAGAAAATCAAACCACAGATGAATATATCTTAAAAACATAGATAAGAAAATTCTTCACAAAGTAGTAGCAAACAAAACAACCATCTACCTATAAAAGGAGTATATAACATGACCAAGGGGGATTTACCTATAAAAGAAAGATGGGATTAGCATCCTAAAATCAATTAATGAACTACACCATATCAATAGAATAAAGGATAAACAAAACATAATCATCTCAATAGATAAAAAAGAGCAGTTAATTAAATCCAACATTGTCCATGATAAAAATTGTTAACAAAATAAAAATGGAAGGGGTCTTCCTGGACCTGATAAAAGTCACCTATAAAACTCTCAACGCCAATGTCATACTCAGTGGTAAAGGCTGAATGTTGTCTCAATAAAATAAGGAACAAGGCAGGATTCCACTCTTTTCACTTCTTTTCAATATTAAACTGGAAGATGTGGCAGGGACAAGTAGGGAAGCAAAAGAAATACCAGGCATCCAGATTGGAAAGGAAGAAGTGAAACCATATGTAGCTGAAGATGACATAATTGTATATAGTAAATTCTAACAAATCTATTAAAATAATTAAAACTGCTAAACGACTTCAGAAATGTTGCAGTATGCAAAATTAATATATAAAAATTACTTCTATTTCTGTGCACTAGACATGAACAATTCAAAGTTAAAATTAAGAAAAAAATTACTTATGATAGCACTGAATTAGGAATAATTATAGCAAAAGAAATGGAATGTTTATGCTCTTAAAACTACAATAAATTGTTGAAAGAAATTAAAAAAGGTCTAGATAAATAAAAAGATATCTCATATTCATGAAATGGACATCTTAATGTTGGTAATGTAGGATACTATTCCAATTGATCTACAGATTGAATATAATCCTATCAAGATCCCAGATGTCTTTGGCACAGAAATTGACAAACTGATACTAAATTTGCATGAAAATTCCAATGGCCCAAGATAAACCAAACCTTTTTGAAGGAGAAGACAAAGTTGAAGGATTTATGCTTCCTGATTTCAAACCTTACAACAAAGCTATAGGAATCAGGACAATGTGGAACTGACATGAAGATAGATATATGGACCAATGGGACAGCATGAAGAGTATGGAAATAAAGGGTGTCAAGACCACCCTATGGGGAAGCAATTGTCTTTTCAACACATGTTTCTGGGAACTGAATATCCATATGCAAGAGAATGAATTTGATCTCTGATTCACACCAAATAAAAAATTAATCAAAGAGCTAAATACATGACATAAAGCTATTAAACTCTTACAAGAATCGTAGGAGTAAATTGTTGTGCATTTGAATTAGGCAAGAGTTTCTTAGACATCAAAAGCATAAGCAATGAAACAAAAGATGATAAATTGAATTTAATCAAAATTAAAAACTATTGTTCTTCAAAGGACAATAGTTCTTCTCTTTTTTGGAAGAATTTGAAGATAATTACTATTAATTCATTATTAAGCATGTAGTAAAATTTATCAGAGAAACCTACTGTAAATGGATTTTTCTTTGTGGGTAGATTTTTTTATTACTAATTTAATATATTAGGGGTTGTAGGTCTAATCTGATTTTCCATTTCTTTTTGTGTCAGTTTTGGTAGTCCTTTTATTTCATCTAAGTTATCTAATTTGTTGCCAATTGGTTGTTTATAGTAGTTCTATTAATCCTTTTCAATTCCTTAAGGTTGATTGTAATGTATCTTCTTTCACTTCTAATTTAGTAATTTGACCTTTTTGTCTTTTATTCTTGGTCAATAGTCCAATGTGTTGTCAATTTTGTTTATATTTTTAAAGAACCAAAATTGAGGTTCATTGATTTTTCTTTCTTGTTTTATCTATTGTCTAATTCTTTTATGTCCTGATAATATTTATTATTCCTTTCCTTCCTATTTCTTTGGGTTTAGTTTGCTCTTCTATTTTTTATCCCCTTAAAATGGAAGATTAGTTTATACATCTGCAATCTTTCTTCTTTCATAGTGCTCACATTTCCAGTTACAAATTTTGATCTGAGCACTGCTTTCATTATATCTCATAAATTTTAGCATATTTTGTTTTCATTTTCATTCATATTAATGTATTTTCTTATTTTCTTGTGATTCTCCATTTTTATTGGTTTTATAAAAAGTTATTTAGTTTTCAGATATTTGTGAATTCCATTTTTTTCTAATTTTCATCCTTTAAAGTCAGAGAACATATGTTGATTTTTACATTTTTAACTTATTAAGACATATTTTATGGATTAACATGTGGCCTACCCTGGAGAATGTTCCATATACTCTTGAAAAAATTTTGTATTCTGCCATTGTTAGATGGGGTGTTCTATAGATGCCATGTCCAGTTGGTATATAATTCAAGTCTTATTTTCTTACTGATCTTCACTCTAGCGGCTCCAGCAATTACTGAAAGTGGACTACTATTAAAATCTCTATTTTTGTAAAATGTGTATTTCTTCTTTCAAATTATGTTTATAAAAGGGTTGATCCATTAAAAAATGTAACAATCACAAATACTTATTCACCTAAAAACAATGTACCAAACTGATGAAGCAAGTTAATCTTTGCTTAATTTTTACTTAAGTTATTAAGTTATTTTTTGCTTCATCAGTTTGGTACTTTTTTTTAGGTGAATACAGATTTATAATTGTTACATATTTTTGATGAATTAACCCTTTTATAAACATATAATGTCCTTCTTTGTCCTTTATAACAATTCTTAATTTAAAGTCTATTTTGACTGATATTTGTATAGCCACCGCAGCTCTCTTTTGGTTACTATTTGCATAAATTACATCCTTTTACTTTCAATCCATTTGTGTCCTTGAATTTAATGTAAGTCTCTTATATATAACATATAGTATGATAATTTTTAAAATATGTTCTGACAATCTCTGCCTTTTATCATGTAGAAGTTAGTCAATTACATTAAATGAAATTTCTGTTAAGTAAGGATTTCTGCCATTTAACTATTTATTTTATATATGTTTTATACCTTTTTTCTCTCACTCTCTCCATCATTTCTTTCTTTTGCATTAAATAAATATTTTCTAGTGTACAATTTCAATTCCTTTAACATTTCCTTTACTATATTTTTTGAGTTATTTTCATAGTGGGTGTCCTGCAGAGTACAATAAATATCTTAAATTATACCAATCCAGTTTAAATTAATGCCAATTTGGTCTCAAAAATATTAAAAATTTTGCTTCTATCTAGTTCTGCTCCATACTTTTTGCTGTGATTTTCACAATAGCTTCTTTATATAGTGTTTTACCATCAACCTAGATTTATAATTATTGTCTTATGCAATCATTTTTTAAAAATAAGATAAAGAAGGAGTTGTAAACAAAACAACTCACTTATACTGTTTTTATTTTTACTTATAAGGTTATCACCCCCTGAGTCCTTCATTATTTCAGGTGGATTTGAGATATTGTTGATTGTCCTTCTGTTTCAGCCTTAAGGACTCCCTTTAGCATTCCTTGTAAGTTAGAACTAACAACAACAGATTCTGAGCTTTTGTTTATCTGGTAACGTCTTAATTTTCCTTTCATTTTTGAAGGCATAGCTTTTCTGGAAATAATATTCTTGGTTGACAGTGTTTTCTTCAACACTAAATATATCATCCCATTGCTTTCTGAACTTAATTGTTTTTAATGGGAAATGTGTTGTTAATTTTGCCAAGCATCCCTTGTGTGTTATAAGTTGTTTTCCTCCTACTGTTTTCAAGATTGTCTTTGAATTCCAACAATTCAGTTTTAACATATCCTAGTTTGGATATCCTGATTTTATCCTGATTGAGGTTTGTTGAACATTTTTATGTGTAGATTAAAACTTTTCTTCACATTAGGGAAAGTGTGGTTATCATTTTTTGAAATATTACCTGTGCCTCTTTCTCTCTCTGTTCTTTTTCTGAGGCCCATTTTGTGTATGCTTGTACATTTGTGGTCTCTTGCAGGTCTACACAACTCTACATTTAAAGAAAATATTTTTTCTTTTTATTCCTCAGACTGTGTCATCTCAATTGACCTACCCTCAAGCTTACGGATTCTTTCTTCTGCCTGTGCAAGTCTTCTACTGAGACCCTGTAGTGTATTTTTCACTTCAGCTACAGTACTTCCCAATTGGAGAATTTTCATTTGATTCTTTTAACTCCTCTCTAGTAGGTTTCCAGGGCTACTATAACAAAGTGCCACAAACTGGATGGTTTAAACAACAGAAATGTATTGTCACACAGTTCTGGAGACCATAAGTTCAAAACCTCTGTGTCAGAAGCATTAGTTCCTTCTTAGGGCTCTGAGGGCAGGATCTGCTCCAGTCCTCTCTCCTTGGCTTGCAGCTGGCTGTCTTCTTCCTACATGGCCTCATGTCTCCATTCCTCTATACATGCCTATGTGTCCAAATGTTCCTAATACGCCAGTCATATTGGATTAAAATCCACTCAGTTACCTCATTTTAACTTGGTTATCTCTGTAAAGATGCTCCTCCTCAAGATTACACACTGAAATACTGGTGGTTAGGATTTCAACATACAAATTCCAGTGAATGTGAGCTGTTAACTTTTATGACTACCATTACACTGGGGAGGGAGAAATGGTACTGGGGTAAGTCAAATCTCTCTGGAGTTTGCTGTTCCTTCTGAGAATAAGCTCTTTTTTCTTAAAAAAGTGTCCCCCAGGATGCTGCAAGCCTTTGGTTCATTTCCTGAGTTCTAAAAATGTTGAATCTAACAATTTTGCCAGGTTTTCACAGCTTTTATGAAAAAAACAGAATTTGGAGTTGCATACTTCACAATTTTCTATTTATTTGCTCTTAAAAGGTGTGTATGTATGTGTGTGTGTGTGCAACGAAGCAAAGTTTTATAGTTTTACTTGTTTAGGACATGTGCGAAATAATTTTTAAAAACTCACTATTGTTCTTTAATAATATTTCTAATTATTTGTTTAGTTTTCACATATAGTTATGTCATTTATTTTTAATAGTGAGAAAATATTCCATTGTGTGAATATATCAACATTTATGTATTTATTATTTTATTGATAGTCATTTTCCTCAGTTTTATTACAAACACTGATATTTGAACATTCTTATATGTGTTTCTTTGGGCCCATGCTCAAGACTCTCTTTAGGGTGTACTCTAATACCAATGAGTTAAATCACAGACTCATAGATATGTACATCTTCAACACTACTAGCTAATGTCAAATTGTTTTCTTAAATATATTTCCCAATTTACACTTGCACCTACATGAAAGGAAGTCCATTTTGTTCTAGATATCCTTTCACAGTTTGTATTGCTAGGTTTAATTTGAGTGAGTGTGTGTGGATACTTATCCATTTTGATTGCTGTTCATTGTAATTCTTAAATGTGAATCTATGCTTTGGTGTCTATAAATAATTTGGAAAATTTCCGTGACATTATTTATTCAGGTATATCTTTTGCATGAGCAAATGCACTGGTCTTCTTGGGGGAAATGTATTAATGGTCTTGATAACCTAGTAAGTTTTTGTTTGAATATCTTCATGAAGATTAGTGTTGGAAATGAGTGTATGGCATTAAACAAAAATCATAAAATGTTTTTCCCCTATGGAAAGAAACAGTAGAAAAATGTTAGATCATCCATATGAACACCTCTTGAAATACATATGAACATCAGTGATAGCTGCCTGTTTTTGTTTGGGCTGTAAGTGGAAGAAAAAACCCAAAATGATAATTCAGAATTTAGAACTTTTATATCACATTGGTTTGGAGTGGGAATTTAAACAGCAAACTTTGTGTGCAAATAACACAAGCTGAAAAAACAACTAAACTTAAGGGATTTTAAATAAAAACAAATCAACATAAAAGCGCTTATAATAAAAATAGAAAACACAGGAAAACACTGTGCTTTCTATTTTTATTATAAAACTGGAAAATAGATTTTTGTGGGGACAACACGATAATCAAAGTCAAAAAACACAAGAAAAAGCGGAATTAGACACTCAAGAACTAAACGTAAGAGAGTAGTAATATTAAGATCAATTCTAAAAATACAGTTGAATTGATTAAAACCAAGCAAATAATAGAAGTCGTGATGTATGAAGAATGGGAAAATTGATATTTCTGTAAGTTAAGTGGAGCACCTATAAATTTAAAAGCATAGATATGGCAATTAAATCCAATTATTTGATTTATCTTAAGAAGGAATTAATGAACTACGTGGGTGATTGAGCTTTATAAATTTATCAGAATTGATTAGAGATGACAAAATAGAAAATATCAAATAGAAATGAAGAATTATGAAGGATGCAATGATAGACTCCAATTTCCATTAAAAGTATCAGAATAGGAAGTTGATAAGATGGAAGAGAAGAGATGATTCATTTTCCAGAAAGTGTGAACAAATACATTCCTCAAATTTTAGATTAACAAGGAACTCAAAACAGGACATATAAAAATAAATTACACTGAGATGATGTATTACAACTTCTCAATACCAAACAATGATGTTCTAAGACTGAAAACAAAAATAGATGATAAAAGGCACCAGAGCTCTATCACCAGAGAGGTTGTTACTAAATAGCATGGGAAAATAAGGATGTTTCCATCTGATGGAAGTAACCACTTACATAAAAACATCTAACAGAGGATATTTTTCAAGAAAAATAAACTCTACATGATGGGCCTAGGATTCCAAAAATGAAGATGAGTAAAGATATTAGTAAACAAGAGAGGGAATTACATAAACATAGTCTGTGTGGGAGACTAAAAAAAGATATGCCCCATCACCTCCTCCAAATTATATCCTTGAGTACCCTGAGTTCCACATCCACACATTCAACCCGTTGCTAGTTGAAAATATTTTAAAAACAATAAAAATAATAATACAACAATAAAAATACAAATAAAAATAAAGCATAGCAAGTATTTACTTATCATTTATATTGTATTAGGTGTTATAAGTAACCTATAGATTATTTAAAGTTTATGCAAGGATATGCATAGGTTATATGAAAATACTGCACCATTTATATCTGACACTTGAGCATCTGTGAATTTTGATATCAATAGGGGATCCTGGAACCATTCCCTTGTGGATACCAAGGGATGAATTTATCCATCTTCACTTTCTAATTCATGTAACATTAAAATATTACCTTACTTACAAAGAAGGGTCTTTGCATATGTAATAAAATGAAGTATCTTGAGATGCCATCATCCTGGATTATCTGAACACCCTCACAAGCATTCTTGTAAGAAAAGAGCAGAGGGAGCTTGGGCAGACACACAGGAGAAGATGTGTGTCCACAGAGACTGGAGCCATGTGGCCACAAGCCAAGGAGTGCTGGCAGTCACTAAAAGCTGGAAGAGACAGGAAGACTTCCATCTTGGGGCCTTCGGAGTGAGTGCACCTGTGCTGAAACCTCAACTTCGGACTTCGGGCCTCCAGGGCTGTGAGGAGAACAGATTTCTTGTTTGAAGCCTCCCATTTCATACCTTTTTGCCACAGTGGCAAGAAACTAACACATGGTAGGACCAATTTACTGAATGGACTGGACTCAATTGGAGTAGAGTGTCATTCATGAAATGGTACAAGAAAGGATATAATGAAGATGTGAGCAAGAATTGATAAAATAGAGAAAAACAGTTAGGCCAAATTAATAACTAAAAATCCTGGCTCTCAGTAAAAATAACAACACAGAAAAACCACCATTGAATATAATCGAGGAAAAAAAGGAGCAAGTACACTTTGGGGCTGCCCATCATCCTCCAGATGTCATATGGAAGGCTCCTCTGTGTAAGACATAGTGACAGGTGTCTGTCTTCCCATCCTACCCCATCACCTAATCAGTCTCACACACAGAAGAATTTGTATACACTTTTCTGGGTAAATAAAATGCAATATTCGTATGGATTCTGTATTCATTTTTTCTCACACTGCTATAAGGACATACCTGAGGCTGGGTAATTTATAAAAGAAAGATGTTTAATTGACTCAGTTTTGCACAGCTGGGGAGGCCTCAGGAAACATATGATCTTGGTGTAAGGGGAAGCAAACATGTCCTTCTTCATATGGCAGAAAGAGAAAGAAGAATGAGAGGAAAGGGAGGAAAAGCCCCTTATAAAACCATCAGACCTCGTGAGAACTCACTGTCACGAGAACAGTATAAGGGTAACCACCTCCATGATTCAATTACCTCCCACCATGTCCCTTCCATGACATGTGGGGATTATGGCAGCTACAATTTGAGATGAGATTTGGGTGGGGACACAGCCAAACCATATCAGACCCCTTATAAACAGACTTGCCATGTGTAAAACTCACAATAAACATGAAAGTAAATGCCTGTTAAGGAGGAGCAAGCTGGTTCTGAACTTTATGGTCCTGAATGGCAGAGGACCAGCCTCTGCCATCACCATAGATACATCTAACCAGCTGAGGCTTCTAAGAGCCCTGAGCAGGAATGGGCTGCACCTGTCCCAAACCCAGAAAAAGCTGACATCTGTGTGCAGAACTGGCTCCACTAGGGAGCAGGTATAGGAAAAAGGTGATCTCGAGGTGATTCTTAACACACTAAAGAGAAAATAATGCAATCAGTTTCTATGTCCCATGGGGGGATCCAAATGACAGACAGGTGTGTATGTAAGGTGAACCAGAACTTGAAAAACAAAAGGAACAATGTGGCAAAGAATAATCTTGGCTTTAGATCCAAGGGGGTGAAACTGTACGTGTCCAGAATATGACACAGGATGAGGGTGTCAGTTTCCCGTGGACAACTGGCCAGGCAGTGCAGCAGGGGAGGGACGTGGGGAGAAGGAGGGGAGCTCTACACGCTCTTAGGTGTCCCGGGCGATGTGGAAATTCCCAGCAACTAAAAGTCCAAAAACATCAGGGAATGTCCAGACTCCAAGGGAAATTGGTAATCTCTGGTCTTCTTTTAGCACAACTATCCTAGCACCATTGTCTATTATTGCCCTAGCACCTCGACCCTGTGTGTCTCTGTCCTCTTTCCAGGAAGAGATGGCTTAAAGAGATGACTTAAATAGGACACACACCTCTTACTTAGCCGTTTCTTCTCTCATCCCTGGCAGAGTATGCCGATCCCAAAATGCAAATCCAAAGAGACATTTTGATAGATGAACGTGCTTTTGAAAGTTTAAACCAAATCCTTGCCATTATTTATAACTTTTCATCTTAACAGTGCAGTATTTTTTTGTCTTGCATAAATACAAAAGTTATCTCTTAAACTATTCCAGATAAAATTTTTATACAGCTCTTCACCGCCTCATTCACTTTCTCTTTATAAGTTTCTCTTTTCGAATCCTATTATCCCCTCAAGCATTGCACATAATTTTTCTCTGCTTGTTAGCGTACTGGCTTGCTAACTCCAATTCTTTATTGCATGCAGGGTATTTGTTCATGCTTACGATCTAGATCTCACCAACCATCAATTGAGTTGAAAGGGTGCCTCTTTCAGCAATGAATCTCTTACTTTATTCTCATCAGCATAATCTTCCATATCATTTCATCTTCACTTTTGTTCAATGCTTTGTGTCAATTTCTCTATTCCAGCTGAAATTGTTATTTTGTCACATCATCAACTAAATATAACCATCAAGTCTCTCTCTCTCTATCTCTCTCGTTTTCAATCCTTATCTCTCTCTCCCTTTCATAAGCAACCTTGAGCTTCACCTTCAGTTGAGATGCTGGCAATTAGTTAATATCTATAATATTTCTGGCCAGGGTATTTGCATAACTTTATGGAACACCTATATGCAAGGCACATTGCCCGGAGTTGTGAAGTAGCTATCAATAAGTCAGACTTATTTTTGCTCAGAAGCAGTTTGTTGTGCACCACAGAAGTTAAGATATGCATTTGTATACATGAATACAAACAGTTTTATCACCCAACAAAACATGATGATTACCATGTTGGTGATGCTGTTGCCCTGGGAGTGGAGATTAAAGTCAGAACCACAGCTTGCTCAGGTGACTGGAGCAAGAAGTGGAAGAGGTGGCATTTGAGTTAAGATTTGAATAGCAACCAAGGTACTCAGAGAGGAAAGGCAGACAAGCTGGACCAGAGAAGTCAGTTAGACAAGATCTTTAACAATCTATGTTCATAAACATTACATTGATAGAGACTTAACATTAAAATAGGGTGGGATCAACTTTTCTGCAAGTGGAAGAGTTTTAGAGATTCTCATCTTTAATCTAGTGATCATGATTAGAATGTCCATGCATCTGCAGATATGATATTTTAAATCAAGCCAACCTCCTGGTCCTGCTGTGAAAGCATCACTGAATAATGATAGTTACACAACCTGGAATCTTCAATATGTAGGCTCGGTTCCAGAAATCTTGAGTGTTGATGCCCAGAAGACTTTCTCCTGTGAATACAAAAGAGAAAATACAGCTTAGGACCTGTGATGGAGAGCAGGCATTCCCTCTTCAGTATGCTGAGAAGAAATTTCTCAGATCCCGATTTCTAGTGCAAAACGGTTTCTTCCACGTCTCTGTTAAATGTTCTTTTGCTATTCCCTGTGAAGCATGTTGATTTTATGAAGGTATGGAAATTCTCCTAGTGACTCGAGATTGGCTTGGTTTTCATCTTTCCCAGGTCATTCTGGAACACTGGAGATTCCAGAGCTGTTATGCGTCGTTCCGGGACATGATTCAGGCTTAGGGCTTCCAGGTCTTGGCAGTGAGGAGGGAATGGGGACTCTACCATGGAGAAGACAGGATTCCTCTTTGGTCCATGACTCAAAAAGCCACAGGGATGCTCCATGACTATTACAAGACTTCAAAATTACAGTTAATTTGAAGGTAACAAAATATGTAACGTGGCTTACATATTTCCCCCAAGTAGTAACACCGTTATCTGCCATGTTTGTAAACCCAGTGTTCCTGCCTGGGATCCCCCACCCCCTTGCTTAGTGGTCAGCAGCTTTGACAGAAGTGCCTGCCCTCCCCCAACGGCATTCTTCACTGAACTCCAGGAGCCTCCTTCTCTCGGTTTCCCTTCCACGCCACTGGTGCTCATTTTCTCCCAGTCTGGGTCCTCGTCCTCTCCATCTTCTGATAAGCACTCAGTCCTCTAGCCTCCGTGGATTTCTCTCCTCACTCGGCTCTGTGGTGATTCCATCCATTCTCCTGGCACCTGTACAACTCGGTTCATCAGTGGCCTCCTGAACTGAAGACGTCCACCACCAAATCCATCTTCATCTTTCCTCCACCCACAGACCTAAGCTTGATCTTGCAAATTCTTCACGTCTGTAAACGGCAATTTGGTTCTTCCAACTTTTTGAGCAAAAACTCCCACATACTCTTGATTTTTCTCTTTTTCTTAGTTCCCGTGCTCAATTGCTAGCATATGCTGTTGAATTTGCCCTCCAAACCTGCAGTATCCAATGGCTGCTTATTCACCCTGTGTCCAGTCTAGGCGGAGGCAAAGCATCCCTCACTGGGTTGATGGCAGCTGCTGGTTTCAGATTTACTTCCTCTTTTTATCACCCTGCACCCCCACCCAGCTTTCTTCTCTCCACAGCCATCAGCATGATCCACTTAATGTAGGAACATGACACTTTCTGCTCAAATACACCCGAAGTGAAAGCCATAGTCCCTCAGGGCCCCAGGCCTGACACAGGCCAGTCTTCATTATCTCCAGTGGTGCTTCTTGGAGACTTCTCACTTCAATGATCTTCTCTAAAAGCCTTGACTTCCTTGCTGCCCCTCAAACAGATGGAGAGCATCACAACAGATTCTACAACATTAAAAGGGTTACAAGGTAATCTAATGGTCAACAAATTGATGGGAACAGACAGGTTTTTCTAAAGCCAGCAGTCACCTTATTCCCACCTCCACATCCTTCCTTCCTCGCATCTCTCTGACTGAGCCTCTGCCTTCCTCTTTCCCTCCCAAGGACTCTGATGATTGCAGAGGAGTCACCTAGAAAATCCAGGAACACCTCCCACCTCAAGGCCCTAACTTAAATGACACCTGCAAAATCCCTTTTGCCACATAAGGTAATGTAATATCTTCACAAGTTCTGGAGATGAAGATGTGGATATCTTTGGGGGTCATTATTCTGCCCACCACCAGATAACAGACCTAAATGTAAAAGCTGAAAATGTAAAGTGTATATAAAAAATTGAATATTTTTGAGACTTTGAGGCCAACTATTTCTTATATATTACACAAAAACAATAAACAAAAAGGAAATAAATATTTAAAATATCCCTTTTTCAATAGATAATAATAAGAATATGAAAAGTCAAATCACAGATTCAGAGAACATATTTGTAAAACACACATTTGATACAGGATTTGTATCCAGATATATGAAGAATTCCCATGGGAGGGATGAAAATTCAAACAACCCAATGACATTGGGCAGCAGATGTAAATTTATAAGAGAGGGTCTTGGCATGGCCATGAGTGATGGAGACAGGGGCACGGCCCATGTGGAGACACTGGCGTGGACTCCCTGAGGAAGGACGTGCCACCACTTTCTAGAAGAGTGGTTAGCGGGCAGCCCCTGGGCATCGGGTTTGCCAAGCTGCGAGGAGCTGCCCTGCCTGAGGCCATGGCCATCCAAGGCTCAAGGGGACACAGCTTATCGTCCATGTTTACTTTGGAAGTCCCTGCTAGGTCCACTGAGACCTCGTCAAGCCTGCACCTCAATTCAACTTCTCCCTCTGCTTAATTCACTTTCTCCACATTCCTTTCACTGTTGTTGATCCCTTAAAAAGTATACTTCTCATACTCCATCAGAGTTTACATTTAGACAATGTATCTGTGACATGTGACAGTCACACGAGCAATAATCTTTGATACTCCTAAGCACTGTTTATCTGAAAACTGTGAATTAAAACCACCAGGAGACACCACTTTACATCCATTAGACTGGCTGAAATGGAAAGACTGCCCACATCAAGTGCTGGCAATGTTTTCAGAAAGTGGAACTCTGTCCATTGCTTGGGGGACTGAAAAACGGCAAAACTATTTGAAAGCAATTTGACAAATTCTTATACAGTTAAATCAATCCAATTGCTTGATAATTTCACTCCTATTTCCTACCACAAATAAAAACATGTCCACAGAACGAGTCAGTGAAAATGAGCAACAGATTTGGACATCCCTGGGTGTCACGGCTTCAGCAGGTCCCTCCATTCAGGGTCTCTGACTTCTGGCAACACCCCAATTTATGTTCAGAGATTGCAGTAAAGACAGGTGTAAGAAATTATAAAAGTATTAATTTGGAGAACTAGCAAATGTCCATGAAATCTTCACAATTTATATTCTTCTGTCACGGCTTCAGCAGGTCCCTCTGTTCGGGGTCTCTGACTTCCTGCAACATCTGGGGTGGATTGTATTTTCTAATGTGGCCACAGCAATACTTCCAGTCCTCTTCCAGAATCGTGCTGCTCCCCCACCAAGAGGCTGATTCTCTTGCCCTTTTCATAGAAATGTGGCTGTCCTTTTTTGGCTGCCTTGACTGATAGAAGGTGGTAGAAGTGAGACTGAGTCATAGACAGCAAAATGTCTCTGCCAGGTCTTTCTCTCTCAGGACAACTGCCCTTTGTACCCAGCCTCCATGTTGGGAGGAAGCTCAGGCCATGTGTGGAGGCATCAGGGCCAACAGTTCCCACTAAGAGCTTGAAGCTACCACCAGCCTCAACTACCACAAACACCGAACAGTGAGCCTCAAGAAGATCCCAGTCCACAGCCTGTTCCACTCCAGTGGTGTCAGGCAGCTGAGATAAGCTCTCCCTGCTAAGAATTAACTGATTTGCTGATTAATGAGCCAAATAAATGTTGTAATAATTTCCCTAAATTCTACACAAGACACTTCGCACTATTTGCAATAGCAAAGACATGGAATCAACCTAGATACCCATCAGTAGTAGACTGGATAAAGAAATGTGGTACATGTATACCATGGAATACTACACAGCCATAAGAAAGAACAAAATCACATCTTTTGCAACAATACTGATGCAGCTGGAGGTCATTATTCTAAGTGTATTAATGCAGGAACAGAAAACCAAATCCTACACATTCTTACTTAGAAGCGGGAGCTAAATATCGAGTACACATAGAAACAAAGAGGGAACAATAGATGCCGGAGCATACTTGATGGTGGAGGGAGGGTGGAAGGCAAGGCTAGAAAAACTGCTTATTGGTTCCCATGCTGGCTACCTGGGCAATAAAATCATTTGAAAACTGCTTATTGGTTCCCGTGCTGACTACCTTGGTGATAAAACCATTTGTACACCAAACCCCAGTGACACTCAATTTACCCATGTAACAAACCTGCAAACGTACCCTCGAACTTAAAATAAAAGTTAAAAAAGAGAAAAGAAAGGTCTACGAATGGTCAAAAAGCACTTAAAAATTCCCCAAATCAGAAATCATTCTGGAATTGCAGATTAAAATCACAATGAGACACCACTATGCACTCATTAGGAGAAGTAAAATCAAAATGGTGACAATGGCAGTGTTGGGGGGGCATAGAGCAACTGAGACCCTCACTATTCAGC